>NC_000012.12:38520734-38672249 GCF_000001405.40 Homo sapiens
CTAGCTTTGCTTCTGCTGAATACCTGTATGAATAGTTCCTTCTCTTACAAGTCTTAGCACAAATGGCATCTTAATGGTGAGGTCTTTCGTATTTAAAGGTATAATTTTCCCACCCTTGAAATATATTTTAATCATTTATTTTTGTTTTTTATATTTTCCCAGTAGGAAGTTTTTTCTATTTTTTTTTTACTTGTCCCTTTTAATGTATTTAGCACTCTGCATCATAGTAAGTGGTCAGTAATTTTTGTGAGATTGAGCTGGGTTCTGTAATTTTAATAATGAATAGTCAGCCCCAAATCTTGAGAAAATATCCAGCTCTGAGAGAAAATCAATTATGTGAACAAGTAATTACAAATATGATTCCTAAGATATGGTGAATCAAATATGATGAATGCTAAAATCAGGATATTCACTAGGTGACATACTATCAAGCAATCGATCAGAAATAACTTAATTTCCCTTTATCCTCTCCAAGTATATTCCCTACTATGCCACTTTATATATCCTTTATTCAGAAAAAATGAACAATTTTATTTGTTGCTGCATATGCAGCAGTGTATAGGTTTGTATGTTTTTTTGGTAATCTCCCCACTGCCTAGAAGTTCTCTTTCTCAGTTTCATAAATCTATATTATTTCTAATTTTTAAGATCCAGAGAAAAATTCTACCTCTTGTGTACAGTCTTTTCGTATTTCCTTGCTGGAAGGAACCTCTTCCTCCTTTGCATCCTGATGGCATCCTTCTGGAACTTCTTATTAATTTAATCACTTTTGGGGGTACAAAATACATATATTTGTAAATGTCTCTGATACTGACCCACCCTAACCTATTCCTTACCTCATTTCCTAAACAAATATTTTTAGCTCCTGCCAAAATTAATTAGTTTTAGTTTTGTGATGAAAGCTGATCTGTGCTTCACTAATGACTTAATATGTTAATTCTCCTAGAGGACACTTTCAGATTCCTCTCTCCTTTAAGATCCTGATGTACCACATAGGTACAACCATGTTATCATAGATAAAATGTTGCTGTATTTACTTATTTACAAATCTGACCCAATCTGTATTCTACAGTTGAGTGCAGGGGCTTTATATGATTTCCTATCCTCATTTCCAATCAAATTCTGGCATAGAGCAAATACTTAATAAGTGTTTGTGGGTAGAAATAAAGGAAGAAAAAAGTAAGCAAGAAAAGCTAGAAGACAGAAAATTTAGCCAGAAGCTTTCTGAAAGCAAAATATCTTAAATTATTTAAAAATGTTTTCTAATTACGGATCATTCCAGAGACTGACTTGAAGCAAGTACTTTAGGGCCTTTGACGCTCCTAAAATCATAACCTAGGTAATATCCTTGTGAAACAAATGCAAGTGAGACACTATGACCCATTTTGATCTCAGACCAATTTTCCTTGCCTAGCATGATTACAGGTGGAGAGACACTCCTTAGCAGCCTTCCTGTCCACACATACTTAATGCATCACTCTTTTGACCACATTTATTCATAGAATCAATAAAATCAGACAGTATTTGAATTTCTATCATTTAAAAAAATTAATGCATTTTCAAAAACGGTTTGTTGATTATTTTGCTTGTTTTCACATTCTTGTTCATTTCTGGGAATTAGAAAGGAATTAACAACAGGAAGTAAGTACCCATCTTAAAAATTGCAGAAAAGGTGTTTAGCACATGGGTAGTAGTCTTACAACAAGGAGATGCAATATAAAACTATGGCATAAATCATTGATCTAGATCTCTTACATCACTCCTTTCCCCCCTCTTCTTCCTACTATATAATTTAAAACTTGAATCTCACTTTTTAAAAGATAAAGTTCTACCTTTAAGTTAATTTTTTGCATCTTTTATTCCAAGAAATGGAGAGGTAAAAAGGAGGAAAATAGAGAATAAAAGTCTGTTTGTTTTCCCTCAACTCCCATACCACCTAACTCAGTACATTTGGATCATTCATCAAACTCAGATTTTATTTAATTTTCTTTTAAGGTCCTATAAATTCAGAATATGATGAGAAAGTGATATCCCATTTTATCAGAGAAGAACAAAGGGAGGCTTAATTTAAAGAGGACTATGTTAAATACATTTTCATTCACCTAGTGAGATAGAAGAATATGAGAAATTACAGAGGAAAGAAAGTATCCCTCCTTTCAGGAGGAAATTATCTTAATGAAAATAGTGAGGGCCAGGTGTGGTGACTCGTGCCTGTAATCCCAGCACTTTGGGAGGCCAAGGTGGGCGGATCATGAGGTCAGGAGTTCAAGACCAGCCTGACCAATGTGGTGAAACCCAGTCTCTACCAAAAATACAAAAAAAAAAAATTAGTGGGGCGTGGTGGTGCATGCCTGTAATCCCAGCTACTCAAGAGGGCTGAGGCAGGAGAATTGCTTCAACCCGGGAGGCGGAGGTTGCAGTGAGCAGAGATCGCACCACTGCACTCCAGCCTGGGCGACAGAGCAAGACTCCATCTCAAAAACAAACAAACAAACAAACAAAATAGTCAAGCTATTACAAACCAGTTAGATTTGATTTTAGTTTCTAACTAATGAAGTCAAGGTCAGCCATGAAAACCTCTGGGAACCAGTCACTTTTACCCAGTTCCATCATCATGGTTCCAACCTCTGACTTCAGCCAGCCAAGAGACTTAGCAGGGGCCCAACAAGAAACTCACAATATAGTGGGAAGCAATTGTCAATACCAAGAAAACAACATACAAACATGTACTCATGGTACTTCTGTAAATTCATTGTATTGAAAAGGAAAATACAACCTATTAATGCTTATGAAATAGTCACTGATTCTATTGGGCAAATTAACGGGAGTGAAAGTATCCACTAATCAGAAGTTTGATTGATGACTCAATATTCAGTATCTCAAATATTTGAACCTAAACTTGAGGCCACTGGTTGAATGTAAATGGGCTGTTTCTTTTCTATCATTTGGTTCTATTCAGAGCCTGAAATATGTTCTTCGTTTAAAATGTATTCAAATCTAATATTGGAAATTCCTCCAGAGCCTTGTGTTTGCCTTAATTTATGCTTTTAATATTTCTTTATTGCTTTTCTAAAGCAATGCACACATTTAAAATAGAAAAAGCAGATCCCACAAATTGCAACTAAGTGTAGGTAAGATACACAGTTTGGAATCTAATTTATTACTAAAGCGTTATTAAGAGAAAGTACAGATAAACTAAATAGCTTAGGAAAATTAAAGCATTAATTCTAAGTTTCATTATTTAACTAGGAACATCAGAAAAGTTCAATGTAAGTCTAAAAAATGTACATTTAATTCACTTTTGTAACCACAGGTTGAAAATATAAACTTTCAGGGAGGAAAGCCAACAGCATTCTAATCTTGTGCAGATATAACTGTTAGTCAATCTTTGCTATGTCATCATTAAAATAGAGAAAATCATGCCATTGTAAAAGACCTGCATTGAATCATAATGTGCAGCATATGTCCATAAAAATAGTGTAGATATCCTTTATGCACTTTTCAAGTCATAATCCAAAGACCTTTATTTAGTTCTCCTATATGTAGAGACACAATTTTATATAAGATATAGTTTTTGTTCCTAATCAACCCCCCAAAAAATAAAAACAACAAAAACTAGAACAGCCTAGGAAGCAGGATTTTGGAAAGTTAAAAAAAAATGGTATGTGACTCATATCTTAATTTGCTGCATACTTGCCACGGAACTTTGGGTAAGTTATTTAACCTGTCTAAACCCCAGTATTCTCACCTATAAAAAAGGATTACAATAGTACCAGAATGGTTTTAAAGACCAAATGAAATAATGTAAGTACATTCATTTGCAAGGAGCCTCACTATAAGACTTTAACAAATGCTAGAATTAATAATATTATAATGGCTATATATTATTGTAACATTGCTACAACAAACAATAGACATCAATATTATCATAAACATTTTTATCATTCATTAGAAAAAATTCTTATGATGGAGAATTTGTTTTGTTTTATTTTCAATCATAAAAATATTACACAATAAAATCTGAAAAATCCTCATTGTAAAAAATTCAGACAATGTAGAAATATATGGATGTGTAGTAAATGGTGGAAGTCTTCCTAATACTTTTCATCACTTAATCCTTCTCTGCTCTTCCAGTGTTGTTCCAAGTAACCATTTAACTACTTAGTCTGTGCCCTTTCTGATCCTTTTTATTCACTTATATTTGTTTATATATGCATATCCAGATAATTCAGCTTTGTTTTATTTTGTTTTCATGTAAATGGTTCATTTAAACATGCTACAGTGTTTTACCTAGATTACATATACCATAGTTTTTTTCTCTTTTATGAACATTTGGGTTATTTCAATATTTAGCAATTGCAAAGAATGCTGCAGTGAAAAATCATCCTACAAGTCTTTCTGTAGATGTGGCGTATTTTCTAGAATGCAGACTTAGAAACATAAAAGCTTAATAGGGGAATATGAGCATTTCTAAAGCTTAATATATTATCAAGTTGCTATTTGAAAGCCTGTAACAATTTACAATTTACACACTCCACCCACCAGCCATGTATGAGGGAACCCATTTCCCATACTCTTCCCAACAGTGTATGTTTATTTAATCATTCCTTTAATGAATAACCATTGCACATCTACTCATGCCAGGTCCTAAGCATATTGCACATTCCCCCAAAAGCTTGCATTCTAGTAGAATGAAACTGACAAAAAGCAATGCACATGAAAATAGGTAAATAATGTTGCATATTAGAAAACAAGTTGCATGGGGTAAGACAGTAAAGAGTGAAATGTTAGAAAGTATAAAAACTAGAGTTTTAAATGGTAAATGATCAGACTAGACCTCATTAGAAATATAATATTTGAGAAAAATCTTGAAGGATGTAGCAAATTTAAAGAACTTATAATCTAGAGAAGGTGCTCCATTGTCCCTGGCTTCCAAAATTGTTGACAATAACTCTGTAATCTACTACATACTACCCACAGCACCCCATACATACTTTCTAAGTGAACACCTTCATTTTTATGCAGTTTTAAAAGTTTATAATTTACTGATATCACTAAGCTATGTCTTGAAATTTTAAGATTTTAAAATTAATTTTCCCTCTAATTCTATAGTTTTTTTCAGTCTGAAGCTTCTGACTTTCATTCATTTATAAATAATTTTCTTCCATTAAGTGTTTGGTTATTTTCCATTGCAATTCATTCTATATACTTTAGAGGCAATTGTCCATATTTGTCTCTTTATTTTAGACCTTTATGTAGTCTCCTTTATTCAATGGTCTTTTTGTTCCTTTATTTCATGGTTTGATTTTTTTCTCTCTCCATCTTTGGAAGCATCAGCTCTGACTTTGCCACTTTATTGTGTCTATATATTGCATGTTTTTCTCTTTCTTGGGTCCATTTTTCATTTGGATATTATAAATCTGTAGGAAATTATTTCAATACAGTCTGCAAATGTTGAACTGTTGGAGCCTGTTTATAATTTAAATTGTCATTATTCTTCTCTCATGTTTGGTAATAATTTGGCTGCTTATTGAAATTTAACTTCAAAATCATTTTTCCTCAGTTTTCAAAAAATATTTTTGCACTCAATAGAATTCTTAATCATCATAATAAAGGTAATATTTATCAAGAGTTTACGAAGAGTGAGGTTACTATGCGTATACATTGATATCATTTAATACTTAAACCAATGAAATATGTTCTATTATTGCCCATAATTCAAGTAAAAATATGTAGCTTAAAAACAGAAGTGGTTTGTTCACTGTTTTATGATAAAGTTGTGTTACAATCGGAATTGAAACCAGTGTCATCTGAAATAGAGGTCAAGTCACATTCTTGATAACTATTTGATTTTGGTTTATCTGCAGGCAAGCTGACTCCTCTACTCTTGCAAAAGCTTTAAGATTTTTTTGGGGGGAGGGGGGTGTATCCTTGAGGTTTTGAAATTGCAACCCGATATATAAATGTGTATCTTTATTTATCCTGCCTTACACTCAATGGAAACTTTAATTCTGAGGATTTATTCTTCTCTAACTTCTGAAAATTTCTGAATATTAATGTTTTTCTAATATATTTTCTTTTTTTATTGTGGTCCCTCCTATATAACTACTATTAGATGGCTATTGGACCTTCTGATTAACTCTTTATGCTTCTTAATATTTTTAAATATTTTCTATCTTTTTCTTCTTGTTTTATATTTTGGGAGACCTCCTTTTCATCTTTCAGTCCCTAATTTAAACTTGAATGGTTATCATTCTGTTAGTTAGACTTATTTTTAATTTAGGATCTATATTTTTAATAAACTTTGTCAGCCATTTGTTCACCTAATCCTTTCTTTCAGATTTTTAAAAATCTTTAATTGTTTTTGCACTGATTTTAGATTTACAGAAAAGTCGCAAATATAGTACAGAGTTTCCCCTATATGCTTCACTCATCTTCCCCTAAGGTTACCACAGTGCATTTAACAAAAGTAAGAAATAAACATTGGTACATTACTATTAACTCAACTACAAATTCTGTTCAGATTTCACCAGTTTTTCCACTAATACCCTTTTTCTCTTCCCAGATTCAACCTAGGATCCCCTACTGTCTTTTGGGTTTTTGCTTTTCCTCAATTCTGCTATTCTTGTTTTGTGTTTATGTTAACAAATAGAAGACCAGGTTGATATACATTTTGTAAATCAACAATATGAACATCCTAAAATAATAAAATGGGTGGCATGTTTTTTATGAGTTGGACAATTAAGGGATAGGTTCAACATGAAAGCCTGTCAATCATTCTGCATACATTAGAGATTAGCTTTAATTTCTTTTTAATTATAAAAATTGCCTAATAAAGAGAGGCAGATTTCCAAGGTCGATAGTGCATAAATATGCACATAAACCTTAACAAAAAAGCCAACTTTGACACCCCGTCTATATGACAGTAACATTCCTCTGTTCTAAGATTCTACATAGCTTAGAAAGGATCCTCGTATATTTATATAGACTGGTTTCCCAAATGGGTCTCTCTTTTGAATGGGAACTGACTGGGGATTTTGTATAAAGAATGGATTATGTCAAAAGGCAGGCTTCCCTCTGGTATACATGGGGTGGAGCAGACAATCAAAATGAGACATTGCCTTCTCTGACTCATGGCTAACATAAGGAAGGCTTTATTATGTTCATTTCACTTTGCATAAAATTATGTTTCCATTATTATTTTTTTGTTGACCTTTATTTTCTTTTGTGGTCGTTAGAGTTACCTTGAAATTCCCTCTATTGTGTTCTGCACTTTTTCTACACCCGAGTAGAAATCATTCCCTGGAATGCAGTTAGGTTTCATTTGTTTTTCATTTTTGTTTCTTGTTTCTGTATTTACACTTTTTGTATGTAATTCTTGGGTTCTTTTCTGGGCTGAATACTGTCTTCAACTCAGTGTGTGTCTGTGTGTGTGTGTGTGTGTGTGTGTGTGTGTGTGTGTGTTTTGGGAAAGCATGAACAGATATGAAGAGGAAAGCTTTCTAAAAGATACATGCTTGTCCCATGTCAATCTTTGATATATCTTTTTTTTAAATAATGTGACTTGTGAATTCTCCTCAATATACCTATTTTTACTTCCATATAAGGCAATGTCTTAAATTATTTAGTCTCTAAAAATATTACATAAAAAATGGACGCTTTCAGAATAACTTCATTCTTAAAAGAATACGTTATTGCATGCAATTTCAGGATGCAAATAATCCAGGTCAAAGGGCTAGCAGGAGAAGGGGTGAGAGAACTACATTAGGTACAAAACCTATGTTCCCACCTGGGCTGTGCTCTTTCTAGGATAAGGCATAAAGCTATCTGAATTTGTTAGCCAGTATAAAAATAAAAGAATAATATCTGTCTTATCCCCAGCATGTGGGATTGCTCTCAGTATCAAAAACATAGTTATGTATAAGACCACTTTGTAAAGCACTGTGCATGTTTACTCTTTTATTCGGGAAATATTTCTTGAGTGCCTTCTAAGTGCCAAGTCCTCTTTTTGGTGCAATGTTAAGTGTTTCTAAAGAGAGAGAGATTATGGAGGGCTAAAGTAATATGCCTTAGAAGTGGCTGGAATTTTATATTGAAAATCAGAAGCCAGAAACATTTGAATGAGAGAGGGATAAAACAGAGAATTTAGGTTAGAAAAACAGAGAGAACTAATGTCCCTCAGAATTTGAGTGGATTTGGGTGAACAGTTCCCATCTGGTTGGAGCAAGAGCTTTTTCTGTGCTTTCTCTAAATCACTATGTTGGACACATTTTGCACACCTTAATTAAGTTTACGTATTATGTATTAGATTAGATTGTTTTTTGCCAATGTTACGGCAAAACTCGCAATAACTTTTGCACCAATCTAATAATTTGATTTACATGTTTTTCAAACTATGAAAAACAAACTTTCATATCATTTTTGTACCTACTCACGAGAGCATTTAAATCAAAGTTGATTGTTTCACTTTTTAAAAAATTTATAAATTGACTTAATTTCAATGTAGTGTAAGATACACATTTTCATCATTAAATTCTCCATGTTTGTGGCCAGGGCTACTAACTGGTTAAGTCACATTGCCATCTCTATAGCACCTTAAAGAGTTGAAGCCAGACAAACACACTTCTACCAAAGCTTGGATTCTACAATACTGTCAGTGGATTAGTATTTCCCTAAGGATGATTTCTATCTCCAGAACTAGCCTCCCACTTTATTTTGACAAAACTCAACACCCATCTGTTTACGCAGTCGTTTGATTGCGTGGGAAGTTTGACAAGTCCATGGCCAGATAACAGAACTGAATCCTTTTTATAGTCTCATACATTTTGTAAATCAACAATATGAACATCCTAAAATAATAAAATGGGTGGCATGTTTTTTATGAGTTGGACAATTAAGGGATAGGTTCAACATGAAAGCCTGTCAATCATTCTGCATACATTAGAGATTAGCTTTAATTTCTTTTTAATTATAAAAATTGCCTAATAAAGAGAGGCAGATTTCAAAGGTCGATAGTGCATAAATATGCACATAAACCTTAACAAAAAAGCCAACTTTGACACCCCGTCTATATGACAGTAACATTCCTCTGGCTACACATTTGATATTTCACTAGTGTGAACTTTTTTGACTCTATACTTATCCTTATTCTATAATTCAAATCCTTTATGTACTGTAGAGTTGGCAAAAACAGTCTCCTCTCTGTCCCACTCTAAAAGAACTTTCTCCATTTGTCTTACTAATGTTGCAGGCATGGGGGGTAGTTGGGTAAAAGGAGACTGAAAGGATGCAAGAGTGAGAATCGGTCAGACTCAAGACAAAACTGAAAAGTTTTATAATTTGACTGCCTTTAAAAGTTGTTTAACTTCCTAGCTGCTTGAGAGGTTGGGGCAGGAGGATCATTTGAGCCCAGGAGGTCGAGGCAGCAGTGAGCTATGATCGCTCCACTACATTCAAGCATGGGTGAGTGAGATTCTATCTCTAAAAAAAAAAAAAGTTTTAATTTAAAAAAAGTAACTAAACTTCTATCTCAGTAGTGGGCATGGCTGAGAGAATTTATCAGCTGGATTAGCAATGGACAATTAATTGCTGAGTGAGAAAGGTCATTTGGCATTTTGGGTCCTCTTTTTTTTAAATTTCAAATTTTATTGTCAATTAAAGAGTACACATGCACATTTGTTACATGGGTAAATTGCGTGACATTCTGGCTTGGGGTTCTAATGATTCCATCACCCAGACAGTAAGCATAGTACCCAACAGGTGGTTCTCCAGCTTATGCCCCACTCGCCCCCTCACCTTCTAGTGGTCTCCAGTGTTTATTGTTCCCATTTTTATGTTCATGTGTATTTATTGTTTATCACTTGCTTATAAATGAGAATATGGACTATTTGTTTTTCTGTTCTTGCATTATTAATTTGCTTAGGTTAATGGCCTCCAGCTCCATCCATGTTGCTGCAAAGGACAAGATTTTGTTCTTTTTTATGGCTGCATAGTATTCCATGGTGTAAATGTACATTTTCTTTATTCAATGCACCATTGATGGGTACCTAAGCTGATGCCATATCTTTCCTATTGTGAACTGTATTGCAATGAACATACAGGTGTGTGCATCTTTGATAGAATGAATTATTTTCCTTTAAGTATATACCAGTATACCCAAAGTAGTAGGATGACTGAGTCTAATGGTAGCTGTATTTTAAGTTCTTCGAGAAATCTCTAAACAGCTTTCTAGAGTGGCTGAACTAGTTTGCGTTCCCACTGACAGTGTATAAGCCTTCCCTTTTCTCTACAGTCCCAACCACATTTGTTGTTTTTTGACTTTTTAATAGCCATTATGATTGGTGTGAGATTATTTTACGGTTTTGATTTGCATTTTTCTGATGATAATGTGATATGATGATAGTGATAATGAGTAATTTTTTCATATGTTTGTTGGCCACTTGCACATCCTCTTTTGAGATATGTCTGGTTCATGTCCTTTGCTCACTTTTTAATTAGATTTTTGTTGTCGTTGCTTTTGCTGGTTGATTTGTTTAAGTTCCTTGTAGATTCTGGATATTAGACCTTTGTCAGATGCAAAGTTTGTAAATATTTTCTCCCATTCTGTAGGCTGTTTACTCTGTTGGTAATTTCTTTCGCTGTGCAGAAGCTCTTTAGTTTAATTAGGCTCCACTTGTCAATTTTTGGTTTTGTTGCATTGCTTTTGGGGACTCAGCCATAAATTCTTTAGCAAAGCCTATGTTGAGAAGGGTATTTCCCAGGTTTTCTTCTAGGATTTTTATTGTTTGAAGCCTTATATTTAAAGTTTTAATCCATTTTGAGTTAATTTTTGTGTATGATGAGAAGTTGGGGCACAGTTTTAATCTTCCACATATGGCTAGCCAGTTATCCCAGCACGATTTATTGAATGGGAAGTTCTTTTTCTTTTGCTTATTTTTGTTAATTTTGTTGAAGATCAGATGGTTATAGGTGTGCAAATTTATTTCTAGATTTTCTACTCTATTTCACTAGTTTATGTGTCTGTTTCTTGTACTGTTTTATTATTATTATTATTTACTATGCCTTATGGAGCAGGCTAACCCATGGTCAATGTGCCCAGAGTTGCACCATGCTATTTTGATTACTGTAGCCTTATAGTATAATTTGGAGTATTATTGTTAAACAGAAAATGTTATTAGTCTTTCAGAAGGAAAGTTATTCATTCAAAATATTGGCTTGATGAACTTTGTAGCTATAAAGCCTGAAATTACAATGAAATAAAATCTGTATCTTTGTCAATCCATGGGATACATTAATGCCTCAATTTGATGATCTGCTCTGTTTTGTTATTATATACATATTTTATAAGCAGGAGTCATCAGAGCATAAAACGTATCTATCTTTACAACATAATATTTAGGTGGTATACATGTTTGATTGAGAGGCTACAGTGAACCTGTCTTTACAATTTGAAAATTCTCATTTCAAAAGCTCATGTTCTGCCTTCTTTTTGTTTCAATTTCTTATATCTTAATTTTTAAAATAGTTTATATCCATGTATCAAAAAGTAGGCATCTTAGGTCACCACACTGGTAACAAATTTCAATGTTGTAATATACTTCTATGACATTTACTAAATGGGTGAGCTGTGGTTTTTATTTTATATTTTACGTTATTTATGGACTCTTGTATTGAACCCTTCAATTTAAAAAACATAAACAACAGAGTCTGACTTTAAGTAATCGCAGAATCCTCAAAAATGTGCTATAAAATGTTTACTTTTAAAGTTAAAAATAAATTATTCCTTAGTAGTGTTAATATATATGAAAATAATAATATCTATTTGAACTCATATGCTAGAGATGTGTGACTATCAGACTTATGCTTGTGTGACTGTCTTATGGATTTGTTCTGATCTGGTATCTCCACACCTAATTCTCTCACTTGGTTCTATTATTTTTTTGGCCAACATAGCCAGTTAGTTAATCAATACATTTTTATTCACAAAGGGAAATCTTTGGCATAAGTTAAGATGTTCAATAGTCTGCCCTATTAACTTCATTCTTCTTTAAGGTGTGGCTTTATGGTTGTTCTTGTGAAAAACCCTACTGTGGCATCTTAAATCTTTTTTTTTCTCAGTTGGTATTGTATCTGAGAGCAGTTTTGGGGTACAGTACTTATGCATTATATACCTTCCCATCCAAAGACTAGCCTGACAAGATGTTACAGAGGATGAGTTTTCATCAGGTTCTTCAGAGGTGGAGCTCTGTGCCAATACTCCTGCTGCTTGACTTATGATATCTTTATAAAGTTGAATAAACTGGTATAAATTCATTAAAAAAAAAAAAGAAAAACCCTACTGTGTTTATGGCTTTAGTGAATTGCTGAAGTTAATTTCCCAGCAACCTGTAGAACAAGTACAGAAGAAAAGTGGTGCTCCTCAGTTTTATGTTAACTTATTTTTTCTAAATCTCTCTAGTCTAATCCCTTTATTCTTAGTCATTAAAGAAATGGCCAAAAAAACTATCATGCACAATAATTTTAAAAAATGAAGCTAGCTTCCCAGGGCTTGAAAATGTCTTAGCTGTATTAAGTTCAATCAATTTGAACAACAAATCATCAGTACTTTTTTTAATCGTAGAGTGAATTAATTAGTATTTTCAGTTGTGCTTTTTTCAACAGAGTAATTAGTCTTTCACATAGCATTCTCTTTGATGAAATGTTCTGGGGCTGGTGTCTGCTATAGAATCACCTCTGCCCTGAATTATGCTCTTTGTTCCACAAGTTTCAGGGTAGGCTGCACAGTGCCTTTGACTACTTCATTTATACAATATAAATTTATTCCTTGGCTTATTCTCAAGTGCATGCATTTATGACCTATAGAAAATGCTATATTCCTTTCTTTGAAAGAATAATCAATATAGAAAATGTAGCCTCTGTCCGTAACACAACTAGAAAGACCCCTACTCCCCCCAGAAAGACTGTTTGGCTTCAGTTTCCTAAATCTTTAAGAAGAGCATCACAAATTAAACAAATATGTTCTAAAAGTTGAATTGTGGAAAATATTGTAGTAAATGACATCACTTCAGTTAGGTGGCTAGGTATGCATAAGCATTTTGGAAATTTTACTTAGCTTCAATGTTTCTGACTACTAACAAAGATTCTTCCCTTAACCAAACTTTGATCAGGTTCTTCTGAGTTCTCATTGTAACTAGGACTTGGCTTTTGGGCTTCTGTGTTTGTCTCTCCATTGTCCAGTTTTAGCCAGAATCCTGCTAACTCAGTTTAACTGGAATTTCCCATCCTCGCTATCTAACTAAGCTTCATAAGCGAAGGAGAAATAAAATCCTTTCCAGACAAGCAAACGTGGAGGGGTTTTGTCATCATCAGGCCTGCCTTGCAAGACCTCCTGAAGGAAACACTAAATATGGAAAGAAAAAACCAGTACCAGCCACCGCAAAAACACACCAAAATATAAAGACCAATGTCACTATGAAGAAACGGCATCAACTAGTGTGCAAAATAACCAGATAGCATCATGATGACAGGATCAAATTCACACATAATAATACTAACCTTAAATGTAAATGGGCTAAACGCCCCAATTAAAAGATACAGACTGGCAAATTGGATAAACAGTCAAGACCCATTGGTGTGCAGTATTCAGGAGACCCATCTCACATGCAAAGACACACATAGGCTCAAAATAAAGGAATGGAGGAATATTTACTAAGCAAATGGAAAGCAAAAAAAAAAGAAGAACAAAAAAACAAAAAAAATCAGGGGTTGCAATCCTAGTCTCTGACAAAACAGACATTAAACCAACAAAGATCAAAAAAAGATAAAGAAAAGTATTACATAATGGTAAAGGGAACAATTAAACAAGAAGAACTATCTTAAATATATATGGATCCAATACAGGAGCACCCAGATTCATAAAACAAGTTCTTAGAGACCTACAAAGAGATTTAGACTCCTACACAATAATAATGGGAGACATTAACACTCCACTCTCAATATCAGACAGATCGATGAGACAGAAAATTAACAAGGATATTCAGGACTTGAACTCAGCTCTGGATCAAGAGGACATCTACAGAACTCTCCACCCCAAATCAACAGAATATGTTCTTCTCAGTGCCACATGGCACTTATTCTAAAATTGACCACGTGATTTGAAGTAAAACACTCAGCAAATGCAGAAGAACTGAAATCATAACAAACAGTCTCTCAGACCACAGTGCATTCAAATTAGAACTCAGGATTAAGAAACTCACTCAAAACCAAACAATTACATAGAAATTGAACAACCTGCTCCTGAATGACTCCTGGTAAATAACTAAATTAAGGCAGAAATCAGGAAGTTCTTTGAAACCAATGAAAACAAAGAGACAATGTACCAGAATCTCTGGGACACAGCTAAAGCATTGTTAAGAGGGAAATTTATAGCACTGAATGCCCATATCAGAAAGCCAGAAAGATCTCAAATCATCGCCCTAACATCACAATTAAAAGCGATAGAAAAAAGCCAACTAATCCAAAAACTAGCAGAAGACAAGAAATATCTAAGATCAGAGCAGAATTAAAGGAGATAGAAACATGAAAAACCCTCCAAAAAATCAATGAATCCCAGAGATGGTTTTTTTAAAAACTTAACAAAATAGACCACTAGCTAGAAGAATAAAGAAGAAAAGAGAGAAGAATCAAACAGACACAATAAAATATGATAAAGGCAATATAACCACTCACCCCACAGTAATACAAACTACCATCAGAGAATACTATAAACACCTCTACACAAATAAACTAGAAAATCTAGAAGAAATGGATAAATTCCTGGACATGTATACCCTCCCAATACTAAACCAGGAAGAAGTAAAAAACCTGAATAGACCAATAAGAAGTACTGAAATTGAACCAATAATTAACAGCCTACCAACCAAAAGAAGCCCAGGACCAGACAGATTCACAGCCGAATTCTACCAGAGGTACAAAGAGGAGCCAGTACCATTCCTTCTGAAACTATTCCAAACAACTGAAAAGGAGGGACTCCTCCCTAAATCATTTTATGAAGTGAGCATCATCCTTGTAACAAAACTTGGCAGAGACACAACCAAAAAAAAAGAAAACTTCAGGCCTATATCCCTGATGAACATCGATGTGAAAATCCTCAATAAAATACTGACATACAGAATCCAGCAGCATGTCAACAAACTTATCCACTACAATCAAGTCAGCTGCATCTCTGGGATGCAAGGCTTGTTCAACATATGAAAATCAATAAACATAATCCATCACATAAACAGAACCAAAGACAAAAACCACATGATTATCTCAATAGATTGAAAAAAAGTCCTTTGATAAAATTCAACAGCCCTTCATGTAAAATCTTAATAAACTAGGTGTTGATGGAAGATATCTCAAAATAACAAGAGCTAAGTATGACAAACCCACAGCCAATATCATATTAAATGGGCAAAAGCCGGAAGCATTCCCTTTGAAAACTGGCATAAGACAAGGATGCCCTCTCTCACCACTCCTATTCAACACAGTATTGGAAGTTCTGGCCAGGGCAATCAGGCAAGAGAAAGAAATAAAGCCTATTCAAATAGAAAGAGAGCAAGTCAAATTGTCTCTATTTGTAGACAATATGATTCTATATTTAGAAAACCCCACCATCTCAGCCCAAAAACTCTTTAAGCTGATAAGCAATTTCAGCAAAGTCTCAGGATACAAAATCAATGTGCACAAATCACAAGCATTCCTATACATCAACAGTAGGGAAGCAGAGAACCAAATCATGAATGAACTCCCAATCACAATTCCTACAAAGAGAATAAAATACATAGCAATACAGCTAACAAGGGATGTGATAGACCTCTTCAAGGGGAATTACAAATCACCACTCAAGGAAATGAGAGAGGACACAAACAAATGGAAAAACATTCCATCCTTACGGACAGGAAGAATCAGTATTGTGAAAATGGCCATACTGCCCAAAGTAATTTATAGTTCCAATGCTATTCCCATCAAACTACCATTGACATTCTTCACAGAATCAGAAGAAACTACCTTAAATTTCATATGGAATCAAAGGAGACCCCATATAGCCAAGACAATCCTAAGCAAAGAGAACAAAGCTGGAGAGCTGGAGTCATTATGCTACCTGACTTCAAACCATACTACAAGGCTACAATAATCAAACAGCATGATACTGGTACCAAAACAGACATACAAACATGGAACAGAATAGAGACCTCAGAAATAACACCACACATCTACAACCTTCTGATCTTCAACAAACCTGACAAAAAACAAACTATGGGGAAATAATCTCCTATTCAATTAATGGTACTGGGAAAACCGGCTAGCCATATGCAGAAAACTGAAGCTGGACCCCTTCCTTAAACGTTATACAAAAATTAACTCAAGATGGATTAAAGACTTAAATGTAAAACCCCAAACCATAAAAACCCTAGAAGAAAACCTAGGCAATACTATTCAGGACATAGACATGGGCAAACACTTCATGATGAAAACACCAAAAGCAATTGCAACAAAAGCCAAAATTGACAAATGGGATCTAATTAAAGAGCTTCTGCACAGCAAAAGCAACCATCGTCAGAGTGAACAGGCAACCTACAGAATAGGAGAAGATTTTTGCAATATAACCTTCTGACAAAGGTCTAATATCCAGAATTTACAAGGGACTTAAACAAATTTACATGAAAGACACAAACAACCCCATCAAAAAGTAGGCAAATGATATGAACAGACACTTCTCAAATGAAGACATTTACGCAGCCAATAAACATATGAAAAGAAGCTCAATATCACTCATCATTAGAGAAATGTAAATCAAAACTACAATGAGATACCATCTCATGCCAGTCAGAATGGTGATTTTTAAAAAGTCAAGAAACAACTGACGCTGGTGAGGTTGCAAAGAAATAGGAACGCTTTTACACTGTTAGTGGGAATGTAAATAAGTTCAACCATTGTGGAAGACAGTATGGCAATTCCTCAAGTATCTAGAACCAGAAATACCATTTGACCCAGTAATCCCATTTCTGGGTATATACCTAATGAACATAAATCATTCTGCTATAAAGACAATGCATATGTATGTTTATTGCAGCACTATGTATAATAGCAAAGTCATGGAACCAACCCAAATGCTCATCAGTGATAGACTGGATAAAGAGAATGTGGTAAATATACACCATGGAATACTATGCAGCCATAAAAAGGAATGAAATCATCTCCTTTGCAGGGACATAGATGAAGCTCGATGCCATTATCCTGAGCAAACTAACACAGGAACAGAAAACCAAACACCGCATGTTTTCACTCTTAAGTGGGAGTTGAACAGTGAGAATACATGGACACAGAGAGGGGAACAACAAACACCAGGGACTGTTGGGAGGTGGGGGGCAAGGGGAGGGAACTTAGAGAACAGGTCAACAGGTGCAGCAAACCACCATGGTACGTGTACATGTATGTAACAAACCTGCTCATTCTGCAAATGTATCCCGGAACTTAAGTAAAATTAAAAAAATATTCACACTCTCCAGCAGAAGGAGGAAAAACTGAAAAGTAGACATAATGAGTAAGCTATTATTCTACATAAAAGAAAATAGGTGTTATGAATAAAATAAGAACAAGTAAAGAACATGTAGATAGGATGTTCAATGAATGAAGCCTATGATTTAAAAGGGTTTACCTCACTGAATGGGGACAGATCAGCAAAGACTTAAAGGAAATGAGGAAGTGAGCGATGTGTAGACAAACCACAGCCCACGCGGAAGAAACTTACCTGAGGCTGGTGTACACCTGGTCGTTATGAGGAACAATGGTGAGGCTAATTGTATGGCTAGCACAGAGTGAGTGTGGCTGAGAATGAGTGATGAGGTCTCAGGGGTCAGATCATGAAGTGCTCATAGGCTAGTTGTGGTAGATTGAAATTTCTCTTCAAGATATGAAGCATATTTATACAAACCTTGACTCTAAGCTGGAAGTTTGGACTTGATTTTACAAATAGAATGTGGCATATGTGATGTTATCTGAGTGCCAAAGCCTAGGCTCAAGAGGCTTTGCTACTTTCATGTTTACACTCCTGAAAGAAGTTATGAGAAAAAAAAGTTATGAAGTTAAGAAGGCCATATAAAGAAGTGATCCTGCTACAGATTATCCTACTGGAAAGCCCATGTAAGAAAGAACTGAGGCATCTGAGCCAACGACCCTAGAGAACTGCCATATGTATGAATAAAAGTATTCTGAAGTCATCAGTCCCAGGTGAATCCTAGACAAGTGACTCCTGGCAACCCATGGGGCCCTTGTGTGAGTCCAGAAGAAGACTAAACTCAGGTAAACCCAGCCCAAATTAAAGAATCATGAAGAAACATATGGTTGCTGTTTAAAGCCACTAAATTTTGGGGTGGTTTGTTGCACAGCAATAGCTAACAAGTACTCCAGTGTCATAACTTTAGATTTTACTCTGAGTTTAATGGGGTGCATTTTACAGTTAGATTTAGGAAAATAGTGACACAATCTGACTTTGAGTTTGAAACAGTTATTCTGACTACTGTGAGAATAACTGTGGAGGTCAGGCACAGCCATGGGGACTGTTGTGGATATTACTGCAGTAATCCAGGATAGAGATGGGAGTGAGTTGGACCAGAGTAAAGCAGAATGTTATTGCAGCAATCCAAGATGGAGAGGGTGGTGACTTGGACCAGAGTGGAGGAAGTGACAAATGGTTATACAATTTACATTCTGAAGGTAGACAAGATTTGTAAAGGATTGTATGTTGGGACTGAGGGAAAAGAGAAATCAAGGTTAACACAAAGATATTGGACTTCTCCAATAAAAAAATAGTGATATTTTATAGAGAACATATTATGCTGCAAGTTATTTCAAAGGTGGAAAATACATGTGTGTATGTACACATATCTTCCTATATTGCATAAATAAATAGTATAAGTATAAACAAAAAATACAAAATGGTTAAAAATGGTTATGTACAGGGAATGAAGGAGAATAGGGTAAATGAGGACAGGGAAGTGATCAAAATTTCTTAGGGCATATATTGCTTATCATTATGATTTTTGAATCTTCTACATGTAAAACTATTATAAAAATAAAACAAGAAGGAAAGTTAAGCAATTTTTTTCTTTTGAATGCCTATCATGTGGCAGGAACTATGCTAAAGTACTTTTATATGTAATCCATAGCCTCTCTGGCTTTCTCATTTTTAAATGGTGGTGATATCGATATCTTGCAAAGCTGGCATATCTGATTGACAGATATTAGACATAACATATCTCAGAAAATGCCCAACACAGAGTAAGCAGTCAGTAATTGGTGGTTGCCATTACTATTGTTTAAGATCGTGGAACAAGTAAATGTTGGAATATAATTCAAACTAGATGTTTCTGGTGGTAAAGTCCCTGGTATTTCTCTCTATGCCATGCTGTCTTTTATAAAAAGCAACATAACAGCTGATGTCTCTAATTTCACTATGCCAGGTGTGTGGGAGTGATGGAATACAGATATGTGGAAAGTCAGTCCCAGGAGGACCAAAAAAATCCTCAGAACAAATGTTTGGAGCAAACATGGAAGTGGTCTGGACCTGAGACTTGTGGGGAGATCAGTAATAAAGACATGGCAATGAGTTAGAACTCAGCCAAGTGCTCACGTACTAGGTACACACAAACATTGAATTTAAGTAAAGGCAAAGAGTCTGATACCAATCAAGCCAGCAGACACTGGAGTCAGTGAAATTAAATCCTCCTTTTGTATCCACTGTAAGCCAAATTTTTGCCTTCTGCTGAAGCTGGAATCAATCCCCAGATATAGAAGTCCAGGGTCTGTTCATAAGTAACTTTCTGAAGAAGGGATATCGATGGAGCTAGAGTGCAGCTTAGGAGAAGAATCATCAGAGTTCCCAAGCACTTTTTTAAAGATTGGATTTTACTAGGGGTCTTTGAGAAAGTGTCTTTCTCATTTATATTTTAGACAAATTGATAAATAAGACAAATGGCAGGTGGGAAACTGAAGCATAACCTTGGTAAAGGCCAAGTTGGAGCACATAGCTTACCCTGACACCCGGTGGCCTTTCTAATAGAGTATCTCATTTAACAGACTTCTCACCCAAGCCAACTCCACTACCACCACCTCAGAGACAGGGCCTGGCCCCATGAAAAACAGAGCTTCTGTTTCCTGTGAGCATTTTGTTCCTTGTGAGCAGCTTGCACCCAAGAGGAAAACAGCCACAGTTAACTAAGTATCCTGGTTTTTCTTCCCAAATTTACCACTCAAGTGAGTCACCCCAGCTCCTCAGGGTTGGTGGCCACAAACAGAAGCAAGAAGCATGCCCCAGGAAGCACAAGTGGAAGAGGCTCCACCAGCTAACAGATTTATTTAGTAGACCTTCTTGGGAGAGGCACACCTGGAGATTTCAGTTATCTTTGCTCAGTAGTCCTTCAAAAAGACATCTATTAGATCTCAGAGCTAAATATATCTGTTGATGATGAGGTCAAATTTCCAACAAAGAAACAATTTCTGAAGCACTGACAGGATGCTTGAGACAACTTGGCAGAACTAGATGCCATTTTTAGAAAAACAACTAAAACTACACCCATCTTTCTGTTAGGCAAACAAAGCTCTGGGCTTCCTCTCTCCAACATGGACAAGCAGGCAGCAAATACAAGCAGATACACATGGAATCAAGTCAGATATGGGGCATGGCAGTAACTGTCATAAAAGTAGGAGAAGTCAGATATGTATCCAACAAATATATAGGAAGCACTTACCATGTGACAGGAACGATGTTGTGAATCATAAGACACTGCATTTGTCCTCTGGGAGCTTATAGTCTTATGAGAGATAAGGACAAGTAATCAGACAATTACTATAAAGTAGCATAAACATTATGAGAAACATGTGTAGGGTGCTTTGAAATTAGGAAGGGGGTACCATATCTAGTATTGGGGCTGTAGGAAAGGATTTCTAGAGGAGATTTTAAAGAACAAGTAGTTGTTTGTCAAGCCAGAGGGGCCAGAGGGGAGGTGGGACAGAGAAATACTAAGCAGAGGAGGCAACAAATGCAAGTCTGCAGTTCAGAGAGTATGGTGATTCCAGAGATGTAAACAGAGTTAAAAATGGATGAATAATGGAATACAGGATATACTGTGTGTGTGTGTGTGTGTGTGTGAGTGTGTGTGTATGTGTTGGGTGGATGGGTAGAAAAGTGGAGGATAATTAATAAATAATAAATCTTGATATTTACATACTTGAATATGTTAAATATACTATTTAATATACAAATAATATGAATAAATTTGTATTATTATGAATATATATTAAATATATTCAAATTTATAAATGTATCAAAGGACCAAGTCATAAAGAGAACTGTAAGCCATGTTTGGAATTAATTCCTAGAGCAAAGAGAGGGCAAATAAGCAGGTGCATGACAATGTATCTGTTATCACATCTGTGCTTTTAAAATGTCAGTGGCTGCAATGTGGAGCATGTGAGAATGATCGCCTTGAAGTATGTGATCATCACACTACCATCTTGTCTGTTTCCCTGCACTTGTTTGACTTGCTGCTGTGGTAACTGTATTATAGTTGGTGCTTACAAAAAGTAAGCCCTCCTGCCCGCTAATATGTGCAATGGTGTCTCTGAGTTACAAAAGTCATTGCAATAATTTCTTTTCAACATGGAAGCAATAGACACTGGACTCCCAGAGGAGAGTCTCCAGCTTTTATAGACTTACTACCAGCCACCAGCTTCCCTGCCCTCACCCTCTTTATTTTGACATTGCACTTGGTCTCAGGTGTCAATTGAAATAAACTAATCCAGGATAGGACCGACGTGACAGACACCATCCTGCCCTCAAAACCACATTTCATCTCTTAACCATGGCCCACTGTCCTTTCTTTGACCCACATATGTGTGACTCAGTTCACTCTTCAGGTTTCAGCATAAATATCATTTCCCTAGGAAAGTATTTTCTGACCCCCTTCCCTAAACTAGCTTAGATCATCTTGTAATATGCTTCCATAGTATTCCATAATTCTTTGAAATACTTACTTTACTTGCTCATTGTATATCTTCGCTGAGGGCAGAGGTCATAGCTTTCTAAGCCTAGCACTTTGCTACCTAGTTGGTACTCAATAAATATTTGTTTATTGCGTGAATGAACTCTGTGATCAGAGAGACGTGATACCTCATGTAACTAGATCTTTGTTTTTAACAAAACAAAAAGTCCTCCTGACATTCCAAGACATGCCTGAAATCCAGGGTGAACACATCATAAATTCAAAGCTTTTGCTGTGTGAGGCTTTGAAAGTGGACGGGAGATCCATGTTCCATATCTCACAAAAGGCTTCCTTTCCAAAAGATCATATTACGATCAGGAAAGAAAGACAACAAATGTACAAGGACATAATATCAAAAAAGTTGAAATTTTTGTTTGCTTTTATGGGGTAAATGGAGAAATTTTCAGGTAAACCTGGAGAACCTGGGCAGATAAGAAATGAGATGAGGAAAGGTAAACTACAATAAATGGCTCAATCAACTCCACAGGTATTGTCAAGGACCCAGCTGGGTGCTAGCCACTGGCAGAACTGGTGACTCACACCCTTCAGGAGGTCACAGTTTCTAACCTGTAGACCCATGGTCCTATTTTAAGAAAAGGCAGCTGCATTTACCTCTGCTGCTGCTGCTGCCAGTCTACCTGCTGGAACGAGAGGAGGATGTGTCTTTTTACCAAAGCAACAGAAATGCAGTGTTTCTTGTCTATTATATCTGCATACTGTTGTTTTCCTTACTAACTCCTTCAATAAATGTTTATTCAACATTCACTGTGGGCCAATCTCTATGCTAAGTGAAATCAAGTAACAAGACATAGCTTCATTTCTATTTTTTGTCCTCTTTCTTTTTCAATGAAGAAAAAGTAATGTCAATATAAATTCACATAAAAGAATAATATTCAATGTCCTGTGCTTTGCTTATCTTCTATTAATAGCTGTCTGCCAAGCTGGACTTATTGCTGAACCCCTCCTCTATGTAAGGCCTATTCCAGGCACTACAGAACAGAGAAGGAAATTTGTAAACCCTATCCTCCAGGAACTTACAACACAGTTGAAGAAAGAAGATACAATCACTTAAGAAAGAATCCTTTATCCCTTTTCTTATTACTCATTTCTCTAAATCTGATCTAAAAATATTCATTTTTTTCTCCAAGAAGCTGAGCAGGCAGTAACATCGAAGAAAATACTTTCCTTTAATATTCTGTTGTTCTTCCTTGGTTACAATTTTTATTTCATTGGGTTTTTAGCCCATACCAACCTAAATAGTCTCCTTCATTAATCCTCTCTGCCTCTTTCAACTCTCCTACATCATTGATGCTGGTTTTGCAAGCACACACACAAAAAAATTTCTAGCAAGCTGCCATCACTGAATCATACCAGTTCTGATCTTTTGAGAACAACTTGGATTTCACAAATGTTTGTTAATCATGGTTTCGATCGAAAGGGAAGAGCTTCCGGTTTTTATTTCTTGCAAGCTAACGTTTCCCACTCTCATCTGGCTGCAGACAGTTTCATAAACAAGACTTATTCATATTTATTATTTTGCTAAAATTAGCAGGATGTTCAGTCATGGGTGTTACCAGAGTCTTAGGGAATTGCACTTTTCACTTTAAGGCAGGATGGCTTTGTGATGGATGGTTCCCTGGGCTCTTTCGACTGTGCTTTCTGCTGTTTCTTTCTCCAGCCCATTGCATGCTGCTGTTTATCTTGCAAAATGTCTGACAATTGAGAGCAGAGACAAAAGCACTTAGAGCTAGATGGAGCTGGGGAAAGAGAGAGAGAGGGAAAGAGAGAGAGAGTTCAAGTAGATCAACATGTTCCTTGAGATGCGATGAGCTGGTTCTAATTCATGTATCAGATACTGTGCCTAGATTACCTTATTTAGTCCTCATTATAGCTATATGAAATAGATGCATTTTACAGATAAGAAACTGAGGCTGGAGGAAGTGAAATACCGTGTTTTAAGTCTTGTGATTCCTAAGGAGCAGAGAGCCCTGTTTCAATACTGGGTGAGTCTGGAATGGCTCTCTGTCCTTTGCATTCTCCTACAAGATGCTGCGCCCCCTATTGAGCCCTTGCCACGGAGGACTGTCATTGTCTTTTTGTTCTTTCTCTCAGCTAATCTCTGAACTCATAAAAAATGTGGATTCTGTCTTTTCTCCATCCCAAGAATCTACCTCAATTCCTGGCACATTGTGAATGCTCACTAATATTGGTGGACAGGAAAAATGAATGAATACATCTGTATGCCCTGCCTACCTCAAAGATTGTAACCATCACATATAATAATATACAGGAGACATTTGTAATCCTGAAATACTACATAATGTAAAGGTTGATGTTGACATGGGTATCTCTTGTGTCTTTATTACTAGATTGTATTTTTTGAAAAAAATACTGTATTCTACCAATATTTGTGTCTTCTACATTGACTAGCTGAATCTTAATAGTTGGAGATATTTAATAAATATGAATTGATTCAATAAATTTATGATGGTTTATAAAAGCAAGATATAAAAAGCCCATGACTAGCTTTTTGTTATTAAAAGATCACTCTAGCAAAAGGGAAAGATATTTGGAAGGAGGCAGACACAAAAATAATGGGGAGAACAGATCAGAAGATACAGAAGATAAATTAGGAAGTCTTGACCCCAAAACATGTCAAAAGGCATCAGTTGAAACAATGTTCTCATTATATATCAGTCTAATCTACAAAGATATAAAATTAAAATCTATAGGAATCAGAATAATAATCACTTATGTATGTGGAGGTATTGAATACTTTTCACATAGTCATAAGTAAATTTAGGCACTTTTTAAAAATAAAATGCTAAAAAAAGGACATGAAAACAATTTTCTCAAAATAGTTATTTTTGTTACAAAGCTTTTGCAATAAAAAAAAAGACTATCCTAATTAGCATTCAATTTTGCAACAATAAGTGGAAATGGCAGGTTGTACCTTTCCCTTTAGGATACAGCTCCTCGAGGCTTTCCTATCTGTTCTGCTTTTGTTGGAGGCAATTTCTCCATTTCAATCTGTAAATGGGTTCTACCTCCATGTCATGTTTCACTTGCTCTGTGTGCTAAGAAAATGCTAAATGTTAGAACTGAGAAATGAGATGCCATAATGGTAGTTCTGCTTCTTGTGTTGTCATGTTCTAAATATTGAAGAAGAGTATCTAGCTAAAAATAATTTTCCAGGTATCGAAGTCAATGTTGCTATTAAAGCACCGAAGTGCTTATGTATCATTCCACAGTTGCCAAACAGATCTACCATAGGGTTTCAGAATATCCCCTTGACTATATAACAAGAAATATGGAAATCTTCTTAAATACAAAAAAGCTTTTAATATTGAGAAGTATTATATGAATTTGTAAAACTAAATAAAAATGCACAATGCTCTAATTTTTGCTTAAAGATGTTTTGTTTTAAAGAAAAAAATGCCAGCATTAATAAGATAAAATCTTAAAAATGAATGTAAACAAGAGATTCATGTAATAAAGATGGTGGGACATGAGGGGAAGGGATGGGATTTGCTTCTGTCCAGGATATATTAATACCTACACATACCTGTATGTTTTTATATAAAAATGGTCATCTATCACAAAATGTATCTGCCACATGTGTGCTTGATATGACTTGATAATTTTTATTTTGTTTCATTTTGGTTTGCTCTTGTTTTGCTAGTCATCCACTAGAAAAAAAAAAGAGATCTCAAATTAAAAAGCTGATTAAGAAGAATCTCAGAGTTCCTTGTCAATATTGGTTAGGTAAACATTCTCATTTTATTGGAAGAAAACTGATGCTCAGAAAGCTGAAGCAGTTATCAAAAGTCACATATTATCAAATCTGAGCATTAAATGTACATTTTGTACCACCTCTTTCGTGACTCTTTATCCAATGTATTTTGCCTTTTGAGGGAGGCAGAGGAACACAGTAAAAATATCACTAGTCTAGCAGATTAAACAAACAAATAAAACAACTTGTCTTGAGATTTGGTTTTCTCCCTGACTAAATGGATAACCTTGGGTAATGCATTTGAATTTTCAGGACTCCAGCTTCCTTGCATAGGTAGAAACCCTACCATGGCAAAGTACTAAATGAGATATAAAATCATTTTTATATGGTGATTTTCTGCAAAAGGAATTCTAAATTTTCAAAACTTCAAGCTGGCATCCTGTAATCATCAATATAGAATTACAATATAGATGTAGAGAGTTCTACACTAAGTGTTAAAGTGCATGAGACTTCGGAAGAATGAAAGATCACTTATTTCTGTCTCATTTACACCCATTTACTCATATTCTGAAGAAAACCTTCCCTCATTTTAGTAAAAACTTGTGAATCAAAATATGCTGAAAACATGAAGGAAAAATCTCCACTGGAAAATCCACAGAATCTCAAACTTAACATCCTCCAAAATAAACTTGTTATCTTTAAGCCTTCTCTTCTTCCTATAATCTGAATTTTTTTTTCCTTTTTTCAGCTAGAAACCTCACTCATCTTTTGTCTTGCCTTCTTTGCTTCCCAATTTTAACTATTCTTCTGTCATACTCCTTCTATTTCAGGACTTCCATTTTAACCCTCTTACTCTAATGTAACAAATACATAGTCCTCTAAACCATATGCCCTGTCACCCCTTTACCTCTTTACCTCAGGCCACAATGCACACTCTCTTTAGTTTATCCATGAACTTTTAAAGAGGTTCCACTGCTTCTCTCCCCTAGTCATTTCCTCATTATTGTGTATTTCCCACTGTACTCTATGACAAATTAAAATCCAAACCCTTTCTCATGATCTAAGGAGCCTTTACCAATAAAATCATACATATTTTTCTGAACCTAACTGCCCTACCTTCATCTTCTCACCTTTCCTTTCCCTCATCCCCTGAACAACTCTTGCTACATTTCTCATTATTCTTGAACTTTCATATTTTTTCATGACTCATGCCTCAGTACATGCCCTCAATGTCCAGGAAGGTTTCCCTTTACTTTTCTGACTCATTATTCATTCTTTAACTTGAGCTATATCATTGTTCTTTATCCTCTCTTTCTGTATTGCAGTTTTCTTGAGATATAATTCACACACATAATTCAGCAATATTAAAGTGTACACGTCAATGGTGTATTAGTGTCCCATTCTATGGGTACCAATTTACTGTAGTAGTTTGTTTTCATGCTGCTGATAAAGACATACCCAAGACTGGGCAATCTACCAAGGAAAGAGGTTTAATGGAGAACTCAGTTCCACATGGCTGGGGAAGCCTCACAATCATGGCAGAAGGCAAGGAGGAGCAAGTCATATCTTATATGGATGGCAGCAGGAAAAGAGAGAGCTTGTGTAGGGAAATTCCCATTTTTAAAATCATGAGATCTCAGACTTATTCACTATTAGAAGGACAGCATGGGAAAGACCCAACCCCATGATTCAATTACCTTCCACCAGGTCCCTCCCACAACACACGGAAATTCAAGGTGAGATTTGGGTGGGGCCATAGTCAAACTATATTATTCCACACCTGGCCCCTCCCAAATCTCATATCTTCACATTTCAAAACCAATCATGCCTCCCCAACAGTCTCCCAAAGTGTCAACTCATTTAAGCATTAACTCAAAAGTCCACAGTCCAAAGTCTCATCCAAGACAAAGCAAATCCCTTCCACCTACGAGCCTGTAAAATCAAAAGCAAGTTAGTTACTTCCTAGATACAATGGGGTACAGGCATTGGATAAAAACAGTCATTCCAAATGGGAGAAATTGGCCAAAACCAAGGGGTTACAGGCCCCATGCAAGTCCAAAATCCAGTAAGGCAGTCAAATTTTAACACTCCAAAACGATCTCCTTTGAATCCATGTCTCACATCCAGGTCATGCTGATGCACGAGGTGGGCTTCCATGACATTGGGCAACTCGGCCCTTGTGACTTTGCAGGGTATAGCCCCCCAGACCTCCCCAGTTGCTTTTAGGGGCTGATGCTGAGTGTCTGTGGCTTTTCCAGTCACACAGTGCAGACCTTTGGTAGATCTACCATTCTGGGGTCTAGAGAATGGTGGCCCTCTTCTCACAGCTCCACTAGGTAGTGCCTCAGTAGGGACTCTGTGTAGGGACTCCAATCCCACATTTCTCTTCCACATTGCCTTAGCGGAGTTTCTCCATGAGGGCCCTGCCCCTGCAGCAAACTTCTGCCTGGGCATCCAGGCATTTCCATACATCCTATGAAATCTAGGCGGAGGTTCCCAAACCTCAATTCTTGACTTCTGTGCACTGGCAGGATCAACACCACATGGAAGCTGCCAAGGCTTGGGGCTTCCACCCTCTGAATAAACACCCTGAGCTGTACCTTGGCCCCTTTAAGTAACAGATGGAGTGGCTGGGACACAGGGCACCAACTCCCTAGACTGCACACAGCAGAGGAACCCCGGGCGTGGTCCACAAAACCATTTTTTTCCTCCTAAACTTCCAGGCCTGTGATGAGAGGGCCTGCTGCAAAAGTCTCTGACATGCGCTGAAGATATTGTTCCCATTGTCTTGGTGATTAATATTCAGCTCCTCGTTACTTATGCAAATTTCTGCAGCTGGCTTGGATTTCTCCCTAGAAAATGGATTTTCTTTCGATCGCACTGTCAGGCTGCAAATTTTCTGAACTTTTATGCTCTGTTTCCCTTTTAAAACTGAATGCATTTCACGGCACCTAAGTCACCTCTTGAATGCTTTGCTGCTTATAAATTTCTTCTGCCAGATACCCTGAATTATCTCCCTCAAGTTCAAAGTTCCACAGATCTCCAGGGCAGGGGCAAAATGTCACCAGTCTCTTTGCTAAAACATAACAATAGTCACCTTTGCTCGAGTTCCCAACAAGTTCCTCCTTTCCATCTGAGACCACCTCAGCCTGGACTTTATTGTCCATATTGCTATCAGCATTTTGGTCAAAGCCATTCAACAAGTCTCTAGGAAGTTCCAGACTGTCCCACATTTTCCTGTCTTCTTCTGAGCCCTCCATACTTTTCCAACCCTTTCCTGTTATCCAGTTCCAAAGTCACTTCCACACTTTCGGGTATCTTTTCAGTAGTGCCCTACTTTACTGGTACAAATTTACTGTATTCGTTCATTCTCATGCTGCTGATGAAGGCATATCCAAGACTGGGCAATTTACCAGTGAAAAGGTTTAATGGAGAGCTCATTTTCATGCAGCTGGGGAAGTCTCACACTCATGGCGGGAGGCAAGGAGAAGCAAGTCACATCTTATGTGGATGGAGGCAGACAAAGAGAGAGCTTGTGTAGGGAAATTCCCACTTTTAAAACCATCAGACCTCATGAGACTTATTCACTATCACAAGAACAGCACAGGAAAAACCCGCCCCCATGATTCACTTTCCTCCCACCAGGTCCCTCCCACAACACATGGGAATTCAAGATGAGATTTGGGTGGGGACACAACCAAACTATATCAAGTGGTTGTTAGCACAGTCATTATCTTCTGCAACTAGCACCAGAATTTTTTTCCAGAAAATTCTCATCATCTCAAGAAGAAACCCCATACATACTAGCAGTCACTACCATTCAACCAGTCAACTCTGGGCAATCACTAATTTACTTTCTGTCTCTATAAATTTGCCTATTTTGGACATTTTATATAAATGGAATCATTCCAAATATGGCCTTTGTGTCTAGCTTCTTTTATATAGCATAACATGTTCAAGGTTCGTTCATGTTGTAGTATGTATTGGTACTTCATTCCTTTTTATGGCTGACTAATATCTGTTGTATGGATATACAGCATTGTGTTTATTCCTTAATTGATCAACATTTGTGTTGTTTCCACTTTTTGGCTACTATGGATTATACTTATTGTACTTATTTTCAAGGTATATTTAATTTGTGTTTTATTACTATTACTATAAAGCTTCTAATAAGTGCCTTTCTCTATTCTTGGGCCCCCCTTTGTGAGAAAACCATTCTTAATTTTTAGCTTTTTCTTCTGATTTTTGCATTCATTTTCAATGTAAGCCATTCCTTTTCTTCAATTTTAGACAAATCTATTTATATTCTACCAGAGAAGAGAAGAATTTATCACTTTTCTATCCTATCTATACTTTATTCCTCTCTCTCCATGTTCTTTAGAAAATTTCTTTCAAAAGTTTCTGTTATTTCAATATACAGCATATAAATCGCTGTCTATGTAAACATTGTTCACAGCTGACCTCACTGGATTCGTACATTATTTATGGCCATATAATCCTTACACTTAATGCAGGTAATATTACATATGAATGTATATGAGTGTGTATGTGTGTGTACGTGCATAGCAAATATCTTGGTCTTTTTTTTAGTCTATTGTCTGTAAAAATTCACAGAAGTTTTATCAAAGCCTTCTTTTAATTAAAAAAAAATAGTTCCCCTCTCTGTGAGTTCTTAGACCTTGGTCTTATCCTTCTCCCTTCCTCTTACTATTTTTCTTAAAAAAAAAATTGTGTTCCATTTTCATTGATGCATTCTCTTTCTCAGATTACTTTTCCTATTTGTTGATTTTGATGTCTTCTGTATTTCTAGAATTTTCTCAAATGATCTCAAATAATCTGTGGCTGTTCATTCATAACTTTCAATAAAATAGAAATCATAAGTTAATCTTTTTGGTACCGTTTTTTTCTTCAGAACATCTCTCTTGAATAGTACCATATTGCAGCTATCATCTTGACTGATTATTCTCAGTCTGGTGCACAGCCTTCATTATGGGAATTTTTGTGATGACTCTCCTGTATGCCATGTCTTTCAATTTTGTCTACTCCATGGGAGCAGACTGTTAGCGCTTACTAAAAAATGTTTGTGAGAGGTATTTTTTTGTAACATGTACATAAAAAAAAGCTTTATTCTACATTCACACTTAATGGATGGTTTGACTGAATATAAAATTCTAGATTGAAAATTATTTTTACACAATTCTAAAAGCAATAATTCATCTTCTTTTAGCTTTCCTTAATGCTATTAAGAATTCCAAGGTCATCCTGATTGCAAATTCGTTTTATATTAACTACTTTTTCCACGTAGCATTATCTATTTGTCCCGAGCATTCGAAATTTCATTATTTTCACCAGTGTGTCTTTTTTCTATTTTAACCAGTGTGTGTTGACAGATCCTTTAAATATGGAAATCATGCCCTTATTTTTTGGTGATTTTATTTCCTTAAATGCTTTCATAGGTGATATCTTCTAGGTGTCCTTTGCTCTCTCTTTTTGGAACACATATTACCCAAATACTGGGCATCCTGGGTTAATTTTATAATTTACTTCTATTGAGATTTTCACTTCCAGATTTGCATTTTTAAATTCAATAACAACAAAAAAGGGAAGAGAAAGGGAAAACACAGAAACAAAAACAAAAACCCAAAAGAGGTAACTTGAAAGATGGTGGACAAATGGTAATTGTCTTACCATATCTGAGAAATTTGATTAATAAGGATTGATAAAAGACAAATCCAACCCAATTTATACTGCAACCCAATTTAATCTCCCTGTGTCATCTTAGGAATCAGCAGCACCTGGTTTTTTAAAGGGTGAATTAAAGATGGAACTACATTAATTGGTTAAAATTTTCAGAAACCATCAAATCTCCAGTTCATTCCTCACAAAATAACTTGAATGTTCCCAATTTTCGCAATTTGTTTGTTTCACAGTACAAATTGTCTTACCTCTCCCAAGTTTGCTTTCTTAGAATAGCCCCTGATCCCTGTGTGGCTTGCTTCTACTTACTTCTTTTAGGCGGTAACTTTCATATTAGTGGCTTCTTCAGAGGTCTGGCCATCCTTGGTTATATGCTCATATTTAAGAATGTGGGACTGAAATAGTGTTTGTAAAGCTATTGAGTAATACACGGTTGGGGCTTGTCAGCTATGTGTTTTATCATAGGAAGATTAGACTGGCCTGTTTATTTATAAAATCTTGATGTCAATATATTTAACTATTTTCCATTGGAATGATTATATTACGTAAATAAGACTTTTTCAATTTTTTGTCTGCCAAGTGAAAGCATGGTTACCATTGTTCTGGCAAATATGTTGAAAAAATCTATGAGTCTCAAAATCCAGTCTGTACACATTCTACTAATCCCCCTATTTATGATAGAGAACCTAGGACTTCCATTGTGTTTGGTGTCACTAAGTCCAAGAACAAGTGGCAAACAAAAGTCCTCTACCTTCTGCAGAAGGAAACTATTAAGTCTTCTTCTGGGTTGTGAGAAATCTCTAGACTGTGAAGAGTTAGGGAAGGGATTTGACTGTTCAATTATTTATTACATTTTCAAGTAATGCACCTTATTTACCCCCCTTCCCTTCATCTCCTCTCACAGTAGAACCTGGTCTTCTCATTTTCTGTCTTTAGGTGATCCTCTGCATAAACCATGCTGAATCTTAGCCTTATTAATCCCTATTCATGAGTCAACTTTCTCAAACGTGCTAGTCAATTACCACTTACCCATCTGTTTTCCCGGCTTCCAAATTTTTCTTGTGATGTTTTCTCCTTTCCTGTTTTCCCATTATCTATGGGTTTATTTTTCAAAAAACAGCATGCTTTTGTATTTACAGTGGGAGTTTGGTTTGGAGTAAAATTAGATTTGTGTGTTTTCAATCAGCCATTTTACACAGCAGTCCCTATGGCTTTCAATATAGATTTCCAATGACAACTACCACTTTTCCTTGTAACTTTTTCTATCCCTCTCTTTTTCTTTTCATCTAAACAAACAATGAACTGCTTTCTGTCACTTTGCATTAGTTTGCAATTTCTAGAATTGTATATGTAAGGAGTCACACAACATATAGCCTTTTTGTCTACCTTTCACGCAATATAATTATTTTGAGATCTATACATGTAGTTGCCTGTATCAATAGCGTGAGACTTTTTTATTGCACAGTAGTATTCCATTGCACATTGAATATATATTCATTGAATATATTGCATTTCATTGTGGGAATACAATTGTTTATATATCCACCCATAGATGGACATTTCAGTTGTTTGTTTTGGACTGTTACAAAATAAAGCTACGATAAACATTCATATATAAGTTTCATACAGGCATATGCTTTTATATCTTTTCTTTAAATATTTAGAAATAGAATGGCTAGATCATATGTAGGTATATGTTTCAGTTTTTTAAAACTACCAAACTGTTTCCCAAAGTGGCTGTATCATTTTAAATTTTCACCTTCAGTGCTTGAGTGTTCCAGCTCCTCTATATCCTCACCAAAACTTGTTATGGTCAGTCTTTTAATTTTAGACGTTCTAATTTGAGTGTAAGGGTATAACATGATTTAACTGACATTTTCCTAAAGACTAATGGTGTTGAGCATCTTTTCATGTGTTGATTTGTCATTTTTATATCTTTAGTGATGTTTGTTCAAATACTTTGCTCCTTTTTTATTGGGTTGTTTGTTTCCCTATTATTTAAGAGTTTTTTATTTATTGTGGATACAAAACCTTTATTATATATATGATTTGCACCTACTTTCTTCTAGTCTATGGCTTTATTTCCATTCTCTTAGTAGTTTCTTTCTCTTATTCCAAAGAGAAATAAAAATTTTTGCTGAAATTCCATTTATCATTTTTCCCTCTATGGATCATGTTTTGGTGTCAGATCTAAAAAACTGTTGTCTAACTCAGGGAAGTTCATAAAAGTTTTTCTATGTTTTCTCTAGAATTTGTATGGTTTTTAGCTTGTAGATATAGGTGTATGATCCATTTTGAATTCATTTTTATATTTCCTTCAAGGTAAGAATCTTTTGCTTTGTTTTGTTCATGGATATCTAGTTTATCCAGCACATTCTGATGAGAAGACAATCTTTTCTGCACTGAATTGCCTCTGCATCTTTGCAGAGTCCATCAGTTACCCATACATTTATGGGTATATCTTTGGAATCTCTAATTCTGTTCTGCTGATTGAGTTTTCTGTCATAACTCCAAAAAACACTATTTGGTTACTATAACTTTATAATGAGCTTATCATAAGACTAAATCAAGTAGAACTAGGTTTCCAGTTTTGTTCCTCTTTTAAAAAATTGTTTTTGGCCTGGCACGATGGCTCACGCCTGTAATCCCAGCACTTTGGGAGGCCGAGGCGGGTGGATCACGAGGTCAGGAGTTCAAGATCAGCCTGGCCAAAATGGTGAAACCCCGTCTCTAGTAAAAATACAAAAAATTAGCTGGCTGCGGTAGTGGGTGCCTATAATCCCAGTTACTCGGGCGGCTGAGGCAGAGAACTGCTTGAACCCGGGAGGTGGAGGTTGCAGTGAGCTGGGATCGCTCCACTGCACTCCAGCCTGGGCAACAGAGTGAAACTCCATCTCAAAAAAAAAAAAATATATATTGTTTCTGCTATTTGTTGTCATTTACATTTCCAAATAAATTTTAGAATTACTTTTTCAATTTCTAACTCAAAAAAAGCTTACTAGTATTTATTGGGATTTGTTAATACATAAATCATTTATAGAGACTAAAGATCATAATAATAATATTCTCATCCAGAACATAATATATCTCTCCATTTAATGGGTCTTTTTTGATTTATCTCACTAATATGTATAACTTTCAGTATACAGATTTTTCACACCTTTTTTCAGATTATCTCTTAGCATTTAATATTTGTTATTTAATGATATTTTAAATTCAGTTTTATTTACTTGTTTTAGTTGTCATTTCATACATATAAATACAATTTATATTTGCATATGTATCCTCCATCCTGTTACTTTGGTAAACCACTTGTAAGTTCTAGTAGCTTTTTTGTGGATTCCATCAAATTTGCTACATACTCAATCCTGTCATCTATAAATAACACAATTTCATTTTTTCTTTCCTGACACCAGTTTTCCAATTATGCTTCTTCCCAGTCCCTGACCCCCTAGTCAATAGTTACATAATTGCGCATGTAGTCATGTCTTCTTCCAAGCAAAGTAAACAACCAGGTACACTGCTGGAAGTTCTGTCCACTGAAAGAAATTCCCTTCATCACTGTCCTTTAGAAATGTCCCAGAAGGGGGCTGCAGTGCTTCAGTTGTCCAACTTCAGGTGGTGCCTTCCCAATTACGTATATATTATATCACATCCATTTGTCCTAAAGCTGCTTATTTACATGGGATGCTTAGCAAACTACAACCTAATTTTTATGTAAACAAACTGCAATATAACTTGAGAGTATATTCTCCTAAGAAGTATCTGAGTCTTAGCCAATTAAAGCAGCTGAGCTTCAGCCAATCACAGGCTGCAAACTGACCAGACTGCATTCATATAAAGCAAATATCTCATCACATCATGACCAAACAAGGCAAATGCTCCACTGTAACCAATAAAACTGTTTCTATATGTCACTTCCTTTTTCTGTCTAATAAATACTGCCTGCCGACCTTGTTGGGTGGAGCTCTCTGAACCTTTTCTGGTTCTGAGGGCTGTTGGATTCATGAGTGGTTCTTTGCTCAGATCAATTCTGCTAAATTTAGTTAGTTCAACGTTTTTCTTGTAACGTCAATTAGCCAATGTGATAGGCCTGCATGAGTCAGACTATTCTCATTGCTGCTTTGTCTCTGCTGTCCTTTATAGTAACCACACCCACCTTGCCTTTAGTGGTTGAGTGTTGCCACATGATCCCTGCCACCCCAGGATGTAATTACTTGCATTGCATAGATTCCCCCTCCTTATACCATGTCTAGAAAGCTCTTTCAAGCAGTAAACAGGACCAATGATAAATCTCACCTTATTTTTGCCTCCATCAATCAGGGATCACTGTCCTTTGTTTTCTGTTTTCCACTGTTTAGAAAAATATTTCATCATATATTTTGTCTAGTTTTTGGGCATTTTAGGTGGAAGGGTAAATAAACTCCTGATTATGCTGAGTGCACTTAAAAACTTCCACACTATTTATTTTATTTTGTTCTCTTATGTGCCTTTCTTTTTAATAGCCATGAGTTCACAAAGAAGAACGTCTATGCCAAACACCTAACAGTAGCCAACAACAAGTATTCAGTTGTTATTCTCTGCCAAGAACAGTTCTAAGAACACCACATGCATTTAATTTATTTAATCTTCACAATGACCCTGTAAGGTATTACTATTAATAGCTCTGTTTTAGAGATGAATACATCAAAGCAGAGTAACAAGGTAATTTGCCAAAGGTCTCACCAGCTAGCGGTAGAGCTGGAATTTGAATCTAAGCTGTATTAACATTTACACAATGTCTTCTTTTCTACAGCAGAGGTTCTCACACCTGACTATGTACCAAATTTTCACTGGAAATATTTAGATAAACAGATTCCTTGGGTCCTTTTTGCAAAGTTACCGAATCAGAGATTCAGAGATAATCTGAATCAGAGATGTCTACAGATATAAAACTCAGGAGTCTGTATTTTTACAAGCACACAAGATAATTCTAATATGTTGCCAGTTTTGTGAACTACTTACTGCTCTACAGGGAATAGAGGGAACTTTGGAAGTTGAAAGTTTCATTTACCTGCATCATAGTTTGTTTTTTTTTTTTTTAAGGTGGTTCCACCTACTATCCACAATATTGTTGAATTGTTTGGGGATTTTAAAACATTTTTATTGTTTATATACTTCTGGTGGGTTTCTTTTTTTCCTGTCTCACAGACAGCAGGAAAGTCTTTTTTTTTTTTTTTTTCCTATGGGATAGTGCTTCGGGCCAAGTAGACCTGAGTGTGAATAATGGCTCTACTACTTCCGTAACTACAGAACAACTGGCAAGCTACCTGTCTCTCTCTCAGTTGCCCTATATGTAAAATGAAGAAAATAATTTTTTAAGGATTAAGTCAAATGATATACATAAAATTCTTAGCATATTATGGATGTTTATTAAGTGGTAGGTAGTATATTTATTTAACACTCAGATATGAAAGTTAAGGCTATAAATTCTTTATGACATGTAGCTTTGGAAATATTACTAACAGTATTTTATATTGTGCAATTCACCATTATTTTCAGGAGCACCAAAATGAAAAAAGTCACTGCCAGTTAACCTTTGACATAATGCTTTCTTGTCACTGAGAATTGTTACTTTATGTTTTTTAAAAGAACTCTTTCAGATTTTTAAAATTATATGTCTCATATATCAGTTAAGCAAACAGAAATGGTTAAGGTATTCCTAAAATTTCTGCATATTCAGAGTCTCAATCTTGTAAAACACTTTCATGGTGAGAGCTATTGGTGTCCACATTTTTCAACAAAACATTATGCCCTGTGCCACAAAGATTTTAATTAAATAGGCTTATTTAATTAAATTACTTAATTTAATTAATGATTGATTTAAACTATTTAATTAAATAGATTTCCCCAAAGCATTGATTATGAAAAATTTTAAAGATACAGAGAAGTTCAAAGAATAGTAGAATGGAAAACTAGATCTGCTCTCTACCCAGGATCAGTCATTGATGAATCACAGCTGTTGCCTTGTTAACAGCAACTTTATGACAATATCAATTTTAAGTACATTCCAATTTTGGAAATGTTTGAAACAACAAATTTTTCATTTTAGAATCAAAGAAATATATTCTGTATATTGCAGGTATGTAATATGTGCACATTATATTTATATGTGTTTACAAAGTTCATTTTTATACCTTCATATTCATTTTTATGAGCATTTTTATGCAGAGATTTTCAACAATATTAAAAACACTGACTAACTGACAGATTGAATGATAAGTTCCTATCACAACATAGACCATGGTGTAGAATATGGAAAAAATTAAGTTTTGAGGATCCAAATCTAATACAGTTTCAGTTTTCTTGGATCTTTCCATTTTTCTGAGAGTCAATGGAAGCTCACATATACTATTAATGAGAAATTCAGATACAAAAATTATAAGCCTAAACATGGCCCAAATTTTGCTGTTTAACCTTAGGCACTGTTCTTAATCTCTTTTTTGCAGCAGTTTTTACCATCTGCTATGAAAGGACTATTGCTGCCTATGGTATTGCTTTAAAAAGGTCATTAAAACTTTCTCCTATCTCCAGGATATCTGACAAAAAACCTACAAACTGCTACCATCATTTAGAAAAGATGTTGGAAAAATTGAAAACACAAGGTATTACTCTTCCAGTTCAACAATGAGATACAGAAGAATTTGTAAGCTCGTGAAAGAGCCTATTCTATCGAGGTTTTCAGGCTACCTGAAGAGAACCAAATATGCTCAGGACTTGTAGGACTGACTGTTATGTAAGGATTAGATTGCGTTTCAAACAAAATAAAATTAGATACAATGTCTCTCACGAAGGAAAATGAATCTGTCAGAATGGGGAAGCATTGCAAACCTATTTTCTCTAAAGGATGTTTGCTTTTACAAACTGAGAACTAAAGCCACTTTTCAGCATATAATTTTCAAAATAACATATGTGGTGTTCTTTAAACAAGTGGGAGAAAAATCAATGTGTATTTATGGTCAAAAAATTCAATTAGCGGTTATCAGCAGGTGAGCACCAATTTGTTTTCCTTTAGTGATCCAGGAAGGTGGATTTTTATTTTTGATTTTATTTATGCCTTTAACTACTTTGCATCCTCAGAATTTCTTTCCACTTTTGATCTGAGAATTGAGATCATAATAATCATTCCATTTATGTCTAGATGATCCCATTTCTACATTGTCATCAGGAATCACTTGCCTTTTCTTTACAAGTGGCAGGTGGGAAAAATCTTCAGCTGATCTCTAAAGGGAAGACTATTAGGTCATCAGTGCAAAAATGAAGTCCTTCTCCCTGTGGATGTTTAAAGAGAACATCCTGTTCTCTTTAAACTCTAAAAACTCCCTGTCTGGGAGATTTTACTTCTCAAAATCAGCTTTTGAGTATAATTAGCTACTAGTTCCACCCCAGAATTTTTTTTCCTGCTTTTCCTCATTGGAATTTAACCAATAGTTTACCTTTCCTAACTAAAACTCCTCATTGTTTAATTCTTTAAATCACAGTATGTTAGAGATGATTTGGAACTTAGACATTGTCTAGTGCTTTATTCTATTTGTTCCATGAAGCTTTTTGTGGGGAGTAAGAGAGAGGACCTGGACCCCTTATCCCTATTCTCTTCTCCTCTTAGTCCATTTCCTGTTGTTTATAACAGAATATTGGAAATTGGGTAATTTACAAATAAAAGGAATTTATTTCACATGATTATGGAGGCTGGAAAGTCCAAGGTCGTGGGACTGCATCTGGTGATGATCTTCTTGCTGGTGAGGACTCTCTGCAGAGTTCCAAAGCTTCACAGGGCATTATATGGCAAGGGGGTTGAGTGTGCTACCTCTGGTCCTTCTAACTCTTCTTATAAAGCCACCAGTCCCAGTCCTATGATAACCCAGTAATCTATTTAGCCCATTAATCCATGAATGGATTAATTGATTCATGAGTGCAGAGCTCTCATGACTCAATTACCACTGAAGGTGCCATCTCTCAATACTGCCACATTGGGGATTAAATTACAACATGAGTTTTCTAGGGGAAAAACATTCAAACCAGAGCATCCTCCCTCGATTAACACATTGGTTTATCTGTTTTATTTTATTTGAAGAGACTTTTCCACTAAGAAAGTTTTAAAAACCCCACCCTGCCCTCTGACTTTTCAGGTTAGCCAACTAGGAATCTTAAAATGGATCAAAGCTTACTTAGTCAACACAGAGCTGGAGCCATAACCTAAACCTTCTCACTTCCAGTCAGCAGTCTTTCCACTATGATGCATTGTCTCTACTTGGGTAGGTGACATATATTGGGTCATCTTTGTTTTTTGTTTTTGTTTTGTTTTGTTTTGTTTTTTTGAGATGGAGTTGCACTCCTGTTGCCCAGGCTGGAGTGCAATGGTGCGATCTTGGCTCACTGCAACCTCTGCCTCCCAGGTTCAAGCAATTCTCCTGCCTCAGCCTCCCAAGTAGCTGGGATTACAGTCATGTGCCACCATATCCAGCTATTTTGTATTTTTAGTAGAGACAAGGTTTCTCCCTGTTGGTCAGGCTGGTCTTGAACTCCTGACCTCAAAGTGATCTGCCCACCTCGGCCTCCCAAAGTGCTGAGATTTACAGGCGTGAGCCACCGCGCCTGGCCACCTTTGTTTTTCAGATATAGTTTATTATTTTTTTAGGACCTTACTATGGTGAATTTCAGAAACCCCTCTTGAACTAATTTTAGGGGAAAAAAGAGAAAATTTATTGGCAGAATTCAAGGGAATCCAAGGAGTAATTGAACAACCAGAATCCAGAGAGTAATTGAACAACTAGACTAAAGGAGGGAAGGACGGTTGCCACCGGACTTCTGGAGCAGCTGGAACACAGGGTCTGAGAGCTGAGGGCTTTTCTCTGTTGTCTGACTGTCTCTCTGTTCCTTTTTTCTTTCCTCTTTGCTCTTCCTTCTACATAGTGGAAAACACCCTGGCCCAGATTGGATTTCCAAATTACAAATTTCAACTTCAACCAACATGAGAGAAACTGATCTAATTTAACTCTGTCTTTCCCAAGACCAACATTGCCAGGAAAGAAAGCTACTTGGTAAGCATGGATTAAGTGGCAAGTGCTGGCTAAATCAATTTGGCCAGAGAAAACATTTATTTTAAAAATGGCTGCGCCCATCTTTAAAGGAAACTAGCAGATGAAGGACATGAGGGAGGAGAAACAACAGTTCCCAGAAAAATTAGGGTTTGGACCAAAAAAGAAGGCTCTGTTTAGTTAATTTTTTTTTTTTTTTTTTTTTTTGGTACAGACAGAGTCTCACTATGTTGCCCAGGCTGATTTCAATCTCCTGAGCTCAAGAAATCCTCCCATATCAGCCTCCCAAAGAGCTGGGATTACAGGCATGAGCCACTGCACCTAGCCAGAATGTTTCTTTTAAGCTTTGCACACACACATGCACATATACACAATATGAATTTTTCAAAACCTTCAATAGTACTTAAAAATTGACTTCAAAGGTTTTGTAAAAGTAGAGTGTAGAAATTTTTTCTCAATATTCCTCTACATATGTTCCATGTCTCTAACAAGAAACTATAAACACTTAAAGGTCTTTCTTTTTTTTTTTATTATACTTTAAGTTTTAGGGTACATGTGCACATTGTGCAGGTTAGTTAGATATGTATACTGTCACATGCTGGTGCACTGCACCCACTAACTCGTCATCTAGCATTAGGTATATCTCCCAATGCTACCCCTCCCCCGTCCCCCCACCCCACCACAGTCCCCAGAGTGTGATATTCCCCTTCCTGTGTCCATGTGATCTCATTGTTCAATTCCCACCTATGAGTGAGAATATGCAGTGTTTGGTTTTTTGTTCTTGTGATAGTTTACTGAGAATGATGATTTCCAATTTCATCCATGTCCCTACAAAGGACATGAACTCATCATTTTTTATGGCTGCATAGTATTCCATGGTGTATACGTGCCACATTTTCTTAATCCAGTCTATCACTGTTGGACATTTGGTTTGGTTCCAAGTCTTTGCTATTGTGAATAATGCCGCAATAAACATACGTGTGCATGTGTCTTTATAGCAGCATGATTTATAGTCCTTTGGGTATATACCCAGTAATGGGATGGCTGGGTCAAATGGTATTTCTAGGTCTTTCTTTAAAGAAGAAAAATAAAGCAATATATCCCCCACAGTACTAAGAATAATGTTAGATCACAAAATTGGTCCTGATTTAATACATATTGAATTAAGTTAAAGTAATAAGGAATTAATCATTCATCTCTTTCAAATAAATTATTTATTTATTTATTGGCCCCATAACAGTCTATCCAAATAAGAACTTTGTTCTATAGAAAGGTGATAGTAATAATACAGTGTTGTGGGAACATATTAACTTTTATTTGAAATCCTGATGTCCAGGATATCAACCACTAAATTGATACATGAACGTGATCAAGTAAGAGCCTGTAAAAGCTCATCTGTAAAATGAACCAAGTGATTTTAAAGTTTATTTCAGAAAAAATGCTATTAAAGCCACAAAACATTAATATTTCAACAGTAGTAAATGTATGCCCCCTGTTCACACAGCAACTAATGTTTTACCTCTATAGTTTTTGATCTAGATGTTTCAAGCTCCTCTTCTATTAGCAAAATTTTCTGAGATTACAGTCAACCAAAAAGGAAAATTCAAGTAATGCTTTGTGATTTTCTATCCATTAAAATTGGTGAATCATAAAACATTTGGGTTGGAAGGGAATAAAAAGATCAGACTCAGTCCCTTCCAAATGCATGAGTCAATTCTAGGGCATCCCTGAGAAGTGGTCATCCAGGCAGTGATCAGGAACCTAGCATGTAATTGATGTGCCTGTTCAAATGTTGGATAACTCTAATTGTTACAGAGATTTTTCTTTTACTGAGCTATCATCTGCCTTCCTGTAATTACCTCTCATTGTTATTAATTCTGCTCCCTGGAGCAAAACAAAACAAGTCTTTACTTTCTTCCACAAGACAGCCTTCAAATATTTGAAGGTGTTTTTTTCTGCCAACTAAATATTCCATTTCCTTCAACTGTTTATTTGACAAAATTTCACGTGGCTTTCTTCTGGCACACAGAACTTGTAACAAACCAGTGATGGCATCTCATGAGTATGAAGAATAGGAGGGCTATCACTCTTTGGGAACTGGATGCAATATTCCAACAAGTGCAGCGTAAGATGCCAATCATGTCTAAGGGAGCTACTCCCTATTGTTGCATTACTGAAAACGTGAGGATTAAGACTCCTCAGATTTTTGTTAAATAAACTTCTATCATACTATGTCTTTCACCCTAGTTAGAAATGAATGAATTATTTGGTTTTTTTAAATCCAAATTTTAAGACTATGTATTTACCCCAGTTGAATACTTGGTCACACTTTGTGCATGTGGTAGCCTTGAAAATGTGCCACGCAGATTCTCATCTTGGAAATAATAGTTGACTGACAGCTCTAGCCCTCCAACCCCCACATCTGGATCTACCAATTCATTTGCATAGTGGTCATGCTACTCCTGGGCTTTGCCTACTAAATGACTGAACACAATGGGGAGTACTAGAGCAAGCAACTCTGGCTCAAGAACTACCCTCCCTCTGGTGAAAACTTTATTTGAACTTTCCCGTAGTCTGAGACACTTCCTCCCAATTTCTTCCTTCCGCTTTTCTTTAGTAGGTGTCAGGTTTGTGATGCACTCTGAAGGTGCTCTCTGCCTATTCCTGATTCTTTCTTTTTACTGTTAACAGGTGACTCTCACAATCCTATTCCATTTGGCATTTGCTTTGCAAAGAACCTGAATTACACAGACAGTACTAAGAGTGGTCCAAGAAGTCTGCCAGTCAAATGAAATTTGGAGACTGGCTCATTCACCACCCACCGTGCAAAATGAAAGCCATTCTGAGTGGTCAGGGGAATATACCTGGCTCCTGGCTCAGGGCAGCAGCTTGATTCCTGAAGAATTTCATGGATGGTGATCTGGGAAAATATCCCAGTGTAAGGGAACACCACAAAAGATAGAAGAGGGACCATAGCCAAAAAGCACACTTGGAGTTTGATGGAGACACAGAGCTCCAGAGACTTCTAGGCCAAGACTGGTCAGGGCCCTGACCATGAGTCCTGAAATATGGAACTGCAATATCTTGATGATTGCCTCTGGAGATGTTGGCTCTGCAAAACACACTCATCTTGCAAAGGTTCTGAGGCATCTAATAAGAACTCTAATACCTCTCCTTAGTAACAGCTAGCATTTCTTCAAGCTGGAAGATTCTGCAGAGCCTCCATCCACCCCTACAAGTTGCCAATCCCCCTATATTTATACCTTCTTTCCTGGCTTCCAGAAGTATAACAAAAACAAAATCTTAGCATAGCCTAGCTTAGTGTGTGCTGGGCCTGATTGGGGGAAAGGAGATTATACGCCAAAGGAATTGCAAGATTTAGATAGATGTATCAGCAAGGATCCAGGAGTGTTCACAAACCCTAGTTTGAGTTTTAAGGGTGCTTAATCAAGGAGATAATAATACAAATCTGAATAAGAAAGAATTCCTCAAGTTGGGGTCATTTATTTGGTACACACGATTTAACATCCTGGTAAAGACCCCAGAGGGTCCTAGAAAGCAAAGTCATTGCTAGATGGGTATTAGAAGCACAGAGAAAAATTATAACTCAAGCTGAGTAAAGTGGAAATGCCTGTGTTACACTTACAGACAATAGAGAAAGAAATAATGAAGCTGACGGCAGAGAGAGTGTTGAAATAAATACCTTATGTGAAGCCAGAAGAAGATTTTTCAAGAGGATCATGGTCCATGAGAGGACTCAGAGAATACACATTCACCAGGGCCATCAGGAATGCACTGGTGAGACTGCCACCAAAATCACTCAGAAGTTCATTGGTGACTGTCCTTTGTAAGCCAGGGCTGAGAGTTGGTCACAGAGATCATTACTATCCCTGTGGATGATAGGACCACAAAGTAATAGGGACCTGGTGGCAGTTCTTAACTGCCAGAAGCCAGTATAACACAATTGTCATAATGACCAGCAAGGTAGGAGCAACAGCCATGGGGGATTGACCATCAAGGAATCATGGAGTTGGTTACTGGAGCATGGGCAGCCAACCAGCATCCTGATTAACATCTACAGCCAGAAAAGACAAGAATGGAAGAAAAGGAGGCTGAGTGCATTTGCTCTAAAAAACAAACAAACAAACAAACAAAGCACAATAACTTTCTCAGTTCCCTCAACTGAGTTTTAGATCCAAAACCTGAAGAGGTAGCCTAGCCCTTAGGAAGAAGGACCCTGCAATCCTCTGGTAGGTATATGTGATAATGTTTTCCCTTGGTCCTTATCCCACCTAGGGTTCTACAACCATTTGCTTGGGTAACTGCATACAAGAGAAAGGGGAATACACAGATATTTAGAGGACAGTTGGGTACAAATCTTAAGTTGACATTGGTACCTGGAGTCCAAAACATCACTGTGACCATTTACTATCAGTTCATATTGAGTCCATTTGTTTCTGCAGATCCATACAGTGGTTATTTTTCCAGCATCTGAGTGTATAATGAAATTGCAACTCATTTGGGTACTTGGCTTGTGGAATAAGAGGTAGTGTAATGGAGAAGGCCAAAGAGAAACCTCTCAAATGCTCCTCATTCTCTTTAGCCTAAATAGTCAATTAAAAATAATATTGTATCCCATGGTGATGGCCCATGTTCATGCCACCATGAAAACAAAAAAAATACACAGGTAGCACTATATTTCTGTTTAATTAAAAAGTCTGGCCCCTGCAGACACCAGATGGATCTGAGCAAATAACTGAAGACTACCACAGACTCAACCAATAGTAGAATGGAACACACTTTGTCAAATGTGGTATCATTGCAGAAGTAGATTAATAAGGCCTCAAATATATGTTAGGTGGTCATTCATTTGGTGAATTTTTTTTCTATTGTGATTAGAAAATAATAGAATAAGCAAAAAATATTTAATTCTTTTAGAAAATAATAGAATAATCAAAAATATTTAATTCTTTTTTTACCTCAGAGTATATTAACTCTCCTATCCTCTTTGGAATATAGTCCAAAAGTATCTAAACTTTGTAGGTATCTCACCAAGCATCAATGGATCCATTATACTGATGACATGATGCTGATCGGACAGGATGGGCAAGAGGTGGCTAATATGACTGAGACCTTGGGATGACACACACACTCCAACAGATGAGAGGTAATCACCACAAAGTTTCAGGGAATTATCAGTTTAGTGATAATTTTAGGGATCTAGTAGTCAGAATCATACAAGGTTATCCCCTTCGAATTGAATAAAAATGCTGTATCTATTCTACCATAAAAATGGAAACAGCTCTTGGTAGGCTTCTTTGGGTTCTAGACACAACATGGCCACACCAGGAAATATTTCTGTAGCCCATATACCAAGTGATGTCAAAAGCTGACAGCTTTGAGTGGTGCTTAAAGCATTAACAGGGCTCTTCAGCAAGTCTATACTGTGGTGCAAACAGCCCTGTCACTTGGGTCATACAATCTGGAAGAGCCTATGGTGTTGGAAATATCAATGGTGGGAAAAGATATGGTATTTAGTTGATGTCAATGACAATTCAGGTCCCTATAATCCCGAAGCAAGGTCACGCCCTCTAATCAAGGGACTGATAGGACAAGGGCTGGAAAATATGAGACAAGGGACAAGGTGGTCTGGCTAGAGGAATATGGATAGTCATACGGGGGTGGGCAAAAAATACGACAATTCTTTTGTCTCTAAATGGGCACTAAAGTTAGTGCCCCACAGAAAGCATTTACCATTAAAGTGGCACAGAACATCCCAGTAAACAAAATGAATCAGGCAACTGCCATTAACCAGCTTCACGGGACTGAACGTTTGTGCCTCCAACCCCGAATTTACATATTAAAATTCTAACCTTCAATATGATGTTATACCATATTGGGGGCCTTTGGAAGGAGGTGGGGCCTTTGGAAGATAACTAAGTCATAAGGGTGGAGCCCTCATGAACAGGATCAATGTGCTTATGAAAGGAACCACAGAGAGCTCACTTGTCCTCTTTACTATGTGAGGATACTGAGAAAAGACACCTGTCTGCAAACCAGAAGATGGCCTTTACAGAACCCAACCACTCTGGTCTCAGACTTCCAGGTTTTGGAATTGTGAGAAATAAGTGTTTTTTTTATAAGCCTGTCTATAGTATTTTGTTATAGCAAACCAAATGAAGACACCAGCATTAATCACTAGTCACCCCCACTACTGACACTATGGGCACTAAAGTGGGATGGCCACAGTGGTAGAGAAAGAAGTCTCTTATTGGCCCAACAATTTGGACTCCCACTACTGATCTAACTACTGCTGCCTCTGAATTTCCAACCTGTCATCAACAGAGACCACTGCTGAGCCCCCAGTATGATGCTACTTCAAAGATCCACCAGGCACTTGGTAACAAGTTGATTGCAATGGACCCCTTGTGACTTGGAAGAGCCAGGGTTGTTCTTCACAGAAATTGATATTTATTCCAGGTATGGATTTGCCTTTCTTGCCCCAAAAGCATCATCCAGCACCATTATGAAAGGGATTAAGGAATACTTAATCTGTAAGCACGAAATCTCACCCAACATGGCATCAGAAGAGTAGGCCCCCTTCACAGCAAAGGAGTTGCAGGGACAGGTCTATAGTCATGGAATCCTGTGAATATATCACATGCAATCAGAGGCAGCCAGCCTCATAGGCAAAGATAAAGTGCCACCTTGGAAAAATACTCTGAAAAGATAGATTTTTCTCCTTTGGGGTGAAGTATATGCATTAAATCAGAAACCTTTACATTGTCCTGCTTCCCCTACCCCCACCTTCCCCCAGTAGAAAGAATATATGGATTCAGAAATGAAGAAGTCGAAGTGGCTCACTCTCCATCAGCTCCCAGCTGAAGGACTTGGTGTTTCCTGTTTCTACAACTCTGGGGTCTGCAGGGGTGGAAGTCTTGCTCCCCTTGCTATTACCACCTTGCTGTACCATTGCCAGGTAGTATAGAAAAGGTCCTGTTGAACCACAATCTATTGCAGCTGCCAGAGCACTTTAAAATTTTTGACAAAGACCATCAGTTGAAAAGAGGTATCACAATCTTGATAAGAATATTTGGCTCTGATCATCAGGCAGAGGAAAGGCTACTTGTTCACAATAGAGGCAGGAGGGAATATGTGTGGAATTCAGGTGATTTCTGGAGCAATTTTAACTGTGAAAAGATGTGCAGAAATCACATACTGAGAGGGGTGCAATTGTCAATACTTTAGATTCCTCAGATAAGCCATCAAGACCTGCTATGGTCAGAGCTGAGGGTAAGGAAATAACTGCATTGACGGGGCTACAATTCATCTTACTAACCTCCTACTTGTAAGTTCCCTCTTACAAAGAAGAAAGACCCCCTGTACTCCCCCCAGAAGCCAGGGAGGAGCTGCCCCCTTGAATGTACATAGAGAAGTAGATCTGTGCGAGGGATAGACTATAATGGCAAATGTGCTTTTCAGATCTTTCACCGTGAGTAGTAACTGCCACCCCTCTAGAAATAACTACCACATTCTCATAAGGCTATACTTTCCCCAGGCTGCTCCCAGCCAAAGACTGGACGAGGTGAGAGATACTAGTGCTGGCCCATTTCTACAGAAGCAGGGATCCTCTAACAGGTGACTTTGGTTTGAGGGACGAAGTCCTGCCTAAAGCCTTTTTGGAAGTGGGCTACAGTCTGAGACCCTTCCTGCCTAATCCTCCTTCCTTCTTCCTCTTTGTTCACAGCTGTTATACCTGCATTGAGCTCTGAAGGTGCTTCCTGCTTATTACTGCCTTCTCCTCTTTATTCTTCATAGGACTTTCCCAACAAATTATCATGCATAGTTAAGGACCCAAACCTATCCAATACATTATTTCAATTAAGTAATCGCAGTTTTTGCCGTTAAAAGTAATAGTGAAAACCACAATGACATTTGCTCCAATTTAATAGCTAAGATTATTTTGAATGACTACTCTCTTATAAACCATATTAGCAATCTTAATATCAATACAAGTTGTTGGAAATGGCTCTTAACAACTCTCTTGCAGTTTATATCACCACAGGGGGGAAATTTCTTGTTATTGGCTGTGGGTTTTCAGCTGGTTGTAAATTGACTCAAGTGCCATGTCCTGCATTTATTTTATTTTCTCCCAGAAATGTCCTAAGTGATTTGTTAACAAAAAATCTGGAGTCAAAATACAACCTAACTATAACAGTCCCTTAAAATATCACTGAATTTATTAAAAGAAATGTGGTTAGTTTGGTATGAATTTTTCCTTAGGCCACTAATGAGAAGTTCTCTTTATGACTGCATTCTTTATACATCTATAAATCATGAATTATTATATATATATATATATATATATTTGCTTTTTATTTTCGATGGCGGGGGCTAGTCTTGGCCTGTACATGCTCAAATTCAGAAAGTCTCATAATTCCGAAAGGATAAAGGGTAGAAAGTCTCTCCTATATCTGTTCAGAGTCCATTATTTCCCTTCTCATGAAAAACCAATGTTATTAATTTTTGTGTATTCTTCAATAGTAATTAAATGTGTGTAGATGCATGCACAACACACATACACACTCATACCTTGTTCTTTTAATTTATTAAAATTAATTATTAATTCTATATTTTGGGGGACTTTTCATATCAATATTTGAAAATGTTCCATGCTCATTTTTATTATCAAATGGTCTTTTATTGGTTAAATGTACTATAATTTGTTTAACATGTTTTATGTTAGTAATATTTTTGTTTTGTCCAGTATTTTACAATTATTAAGAATTCTTAATGAAAAAACATTACATAAACATTATTTTGCATATGTAGAGTATGTCTGTAGAAATTTGAAGTAGAACTGCTTTGTTGTAAGTTGTATATTTGTAATTTTGATAGATATTGCCAAATTTCCCTTCATAGCAGTTGTGCCAATTTACACTACTGCCACCAGTGTAAGAAAGTTCCGTTTCCTTATACCTTTATGATCACAAGAACTTGCCAAACTTTTGAATCTTTCTTATTCTGATAGGTAAAATATTATATATCAATGTAGTTTTAATTTGCATTTTTCTTACTAACAGTGTTGTTGAACAGCTTCATATGTATTTAAGAGCCATTTGTATATCTTTCTTTGAGTGTTCTAAGTCTATAGTTTTTGCCCATGGTGAAAAGTGTTCTTTTTTTATCAGATTGTAGCAACTTCTCATACTTTAAGAAAATTAGATCTTTATTATTTACATAAACTATGAATATTTTCCCAGATTTTATGTATAATTTTTCATTTGTGTGTATTAAAATTTATTACACATTTATGGCTTCAAAGTTTTGTGTCATAGAATAAAATTCTCTGTTTAGAGATTATAAAATAATTCTTCCATAGTTTAAAAAATACTCTAATGGTTATATCTTATACATTCAAATCACAGTCCCATTTGAAATTTTGCTCGTGTAAAGAATTGGGTGTAAATCAAACTATTTTTTTTTCAGCTGGTTACCCATATGTCCAAACATCATTAATTAAATAATATATTTTTATTTTATGATTTGATCCACTGCTACCATATTAAATACAATGTGTATATTCTTTTGTATTTTATCCTGTTCCATTGACCTGTTAATCAGAGTACTTGTGACATACTGTTTTAATTTTTCAGTATATAAAATATAATTTGGAGGCAGAACAAGATGGTGAAATAGAAGACTCCACTGATCTTTCATCCCTGACACCCTGCAACCGCTGGCAAGGACATCAAGTTAACAACTGTGTACACAGAAAAAACAACTCATGAGAACCAAAAATCAAATAAGCACTCATAGTATCTGGTTTTAACTTCATGTCTCTGAAAGAGGCATTGAAGAGAGAATTCTTTCAGTCCTGACTCCTCAATGCCACCCTTTCCCCACTGCCCAGCAGCAGCAGAGGTGTGGTCTGGAGAGTATCTCTGGCGGTTGGGGGACAGCGAACACAGCAATTGTGAGGCATTGAACTCAGTGCTGTCCTGTTGAGCATAAAGGAAAACCAGCTGATGCCTGCCCACAGAGGAGCATTTAACCAGCACCAGCCCTCGTCAGAGGGGAATCACCCATCCCAGGGGTCAGAACTTGAATGCCAGCAAACCTTGCCACCAAGGGCTACAAGAACTCTGTGTCTCCAAGTAAACACAGGACACAAGGACTGCAACTCTTAGGTGAGTCCTAGTGCTGAACTAGGCCCAGAGACACTGGACTGGGGTGGGGGATCTCACAACATACTGAGACACCAGCTGTGGCAGCCAAGAGAGTGCTGGCATCGCCCCTCCCCTAAGCCCAGGCTGCTCAGCTCATGGCTCCAAAAGAGACCCTTTCCTTCCACTTAAGGAGAGGAGAGGGAAGAGTGGGAGGACTTTGTCTTGCATCTTGGACACCAACCCAGCCACAGCAGGATAGGGCACCAGACAGAGGCCAGTGAGGCCCCCTTTCCAGGCCCTAGCTCCCAGATGACATTTCTAGACAAATCCTGAGCCAGAAGGGAACCCACTACCTTGAAGGAAAGGACCTATTACTGACAGGATTCATCACCTGCTAACTGAAGAGCCCTTGGGCACTGAATAACCAGCGGCAATACCCAGGTATTACATCAAGAGACTTGAGTGACCCTCTAAGATTTGCTGGCTTCAGGAGAGATTTAGTATAATTACTAGCTGTGTTGGCTATAGGACAAAACCTCTTCTGCTGGAGAAATGTAGAGGGAAACATAAAGGAGACTTTGTCTTGAACCTTAGGTACCAGCATGATTCTGGAGGGCAGAGGCAGGCAGAGCACATAGTGGGCTTTTGAAGTTTCCCAATTCTAGGACTTAACTCTTGGACAGCATTCCTGGAGCTGCCTTGGGCCAGAGGGGAGCCCATTTCCTTGAAGCGTAAGTTTCAGGCCAGACGACATTCTCCACAGGCTAATTTAAGAGCTCTAGGGCCATAAGGGAACATTGACTGGTGGTCTGATAGCATTCCTTGTGTCCTGGGGTGGAGGTGGCTACACAGTGAGGCTTCTCTGCCTTTGGAAATGGGATGGAAGAAGGGGAAGGACTGTGTCTTGTGGTTTGAGTGCCAGCTGAGTTGCAACATATAGAACACCAGCTGGACTTCTAAAGTTCTGACTCTAGGCCATGACTCCTGGACAGCACCTCTGGATTCACCCAGGGCCTGGGGACCTCACCACACTAAAGGGAAGGACACAGCCCTGGCTGGATTTGCCACCTGCTGACTATAGAACCCCAGGGCCTTGAGTGAATATAGGCAGTAGCCAGGGAGTGATTACAGCAGACCTTGGGTGAGACCCAGTGCTGTTTTGGCTTCAGGTCTGACCCAGCGCAGTTATACTAGTGATAGGCACAAGAGTGCTTGTGTCACTCCACCCCTTCTCTGTTTGGGAGAAAGTAAGGGTAGACAACAGGAGCCTCTGCCTGGTAATCTAGAGAATTCTCCTGGATCTTGTCCAAGATTATCAAGGTGGTACCTCTACACATTTGCAAGAACCACAGCATTACTGGGCTTGGGGTGCCCCAAAACATAGATACAGCTTAGATCACAACACCCAAGGCCTTTCAAATATCTGGAAAGCCTTCCCAAGAAAGATGGCTACAAATAAGCCCATTCGGTGACAACTGCAATATAAATACCTGAATCTTTAATGCCCAGACATTGAAGAATATATACTGGCATCAACGCCAACCAGGAAAACATGACCTCATGAAGTAAACTACATAAGACACCAGGGATCAATCCTAGGGAAACAGATGTGTGACTTTTCAGACAGAGAAGTCAAAATAGCTGTGTTGTGGAAACACAAAGAAATTCAAGATAACACAGAGAATGAATTCAGAATTGTATCAGATAAATTTAATAAAGAGATTGAAATAGTTTAAAAGAATCAAGAGGAAATTCTGGAACTGAAAAATCCAATTGGCCTACTGAAGAATGCATCATAGTCCTTTAATAGTAGAATAGATTAAGCAGAATTAGTAAGCTTAAAGACAAGATGACAAAAAATACACAGTCAGAAGAGAAAAAAGAATAAAACACAATGATGCACACCTGGAAAATAGCCTCACATAGGCTCTAGAAAATAGAATCTAGAAAATAGCCTCAAAGGGCAAATATAAAAGTTATTGGCCTTAAAGAGAAGGTAGAGAAAGAGATAGGGTAAAAAGTTTTCAGAAGGATAATAAAAGAGAACTTCCCAAAGCCAGAGAAAGATACCAATATCCAAGTACAAGAAGGTTATAGTACACCAGCCATATTTAACCCAAAGAAGACTACCTCAAGGCTCTTAATAATCAAATTCTCAAAGGTCAAGGATAAAGAAAAGATCCTAAAAGCAGCAAGAGAAAATAAACAAATAACATACAATTGAGCTCTAATAATTCTGGGAGCAGAGTTTTCAGTGGAAACCTTACAGGCCAGGAGAGAGTTGCTTGACATGTTTAAAGTGCTGAAGGAAAAAAACTTTCACCCTAGAATAGTATATCCATTGAAAACATCCTTCAAATATGAAGGAGAAATAAAAACTTTCTCAGACAAACAAAAGCTAAGGGATTTCATCAATAACAGACCTGTCCTTGAAGAAATGCTAAAGGGAGTACTTCAATCAGAAAGAAAAGGACACTGATGAGCAATAACTAATGACTTGAAGATACCAAACTCACTGATAATAGTTAAGTACACAGAAAAACACAGAATATTATACCACTGTAATGGTGGTATCTAAACTACTCTAAGTAGAAAGACTAAACAATGAACCAATCAAAAATAATAACTTTTCAAGACATAGTAAAATAAGATATAAGTAGAGACAACAAAAGGTTAAAAAGCAGAGCAGTGAAGGTAAGTCATAGAGTTTTTATTAGTTTTCTTTTTGCTTGTTGTTTATCTATGCAAATCATGTTATTATCAGGTTAAAATAATGGGTTATAAAACAACCCATTATTGCAAACCTCATGGTAACCTCAAACCAAAAAACATGCAATGGACGCATAATAAATAAAAAACAAGAAACTATATCACCAGAGAAAATCCCCTTCACTAGAGGAAGACAGGAAGGAAAGAAGAAAGGAAGAGAAGACCACAAAACAACCAAAAAACAAATAACAAAATGGCAGGAATAAGTTCTTACTTATCAATAATAATACTGAATGTAAATGGACTACACTCTCCAGTAAAATGTCATAGACTGGCTGAACGGATAAAAAAAAGCCAGACTCCCACATCACCTATAAAGACACATATTGAAAATAAAGGGATGGAAAAAGATATGCCATGCCAATAAAAGCCAAAAAGAGCAAGAGTTGCTATACTTACATTAGACAAAATAGATTTCAAGACAAAAACTATAAGAAGAGATAAAGAAGGACACTATATAATGATAAAGGGGTCAATTCAATGAGAAGATATAACAATTTTAAATATATATGCACCCAATACTGGAGCACCCAGATATATGAAGGAAACATCATTAGAGCTAAAGAAAGAGACAAGCACCAATACAATAATAGCTGAAGACTTCAACATCTGACTTTCAGCATTGAAAAGATCTTCCAGACAGAAAATCAACAAAGAAACATCAGACGTAGGCAGGTGCAGTGGCTCACTCCTGTAATCCCAGCACTTTGGGAGGTCAAGGTGGCTGGATCACGAGGTCAGGAGTTCAAGACCAGCCTGGTCAATATGGTGAAACCCTGTCTGTACTAAAAATACAAGAATTAGCCAAGTGTGGTGGCGTGACCCTGTAGTACCAGTTACTCAGGAGGCTGAGGCAGAAGAATCGCTTGAACCCGGGAGGCGGAGGTTGCAGTGAGCCAAGATCCCACCACTGCACTCCAGCCTGGGCAACAGAGTGAGACTCCATCTCAAAAAATAAAAATAAAAAAAAAAAAGAAAGAAAAGAAAAGAAAAAAGAAACATTGGACTTAATCTGCACTATAGACCAAATGGATCTAATAAATATTTACAGAAAATTTCATCCAAGAGCTGCAAAATATGCAGAATACACATTCTTTTCTTCAACATATTGATAATTCTCAAGGATAAATCATATGTTAGGTCTCAAAACAAATATTAAAACTTTTTTTATTATTATTATACTTTAAGTTTTAGGGTACATGTGCACAATGTGCAGGTTAGTTACATATGTATACATGTGCCATGCTGGTGTGCTGCACCCACTAACTCATCATCTAGCATTAGGTATATCTCCCAATGCTATCCCTCCCCCCCTCCCCCAACCCCACAACAGTCCCCAGAGTGTGATGTTCCCCTTCCTGTGTCCATGTGTTCTCATTGTTCAATTCCCACCTATGAGTGAGAATATGTGGTGTTTGGTTTTTTGTTCTTGCAATAGTTTACTGAGCCAAAATTGACAAAATAGATTTCAAGCCAAAATTGACAAATGGGATCTAATTAAACTAAAGAGCTTCTACACAGCAAAAGAAACTACCATCAGAGTGAACAGGCAACCTACAAAATGGGAGAAAATTTTCGCATCTGACAAAGGGCTAATATCCAGAATCTACAATGAACTCAAACAAATTTACAAGAAAAAAACAAACAACCCCATCAAAAAGTGGGCAAAGGACATGAACAGACACTTCTCAAAAGAAGACATTTATGCAGCCAAAAAACACACGAAAAAATGCTCACCATCACTGGCCATCAGAGAAATGCAAATCAAAACCACAATGAGATACCATCTCACACCAGTTAGAATGGCAATCATTAAAAAGTCAGGAAACGACAGGTGCTGGAGAGGATGTGGAGAAATAGGAACACTTTGACACTGTTGGTGGGACTGTAAACTAGTTCAACCATTGTGGAAGTCAGTGTGGTGATTCCTCAGGGATCTAGAACTAGAAATACCATTTGACTCAGCCATCCCATTACTGGGTATATACCCAAAGGACTATAAATCATGCTGCTATAAAGACACATGCACATGTATGTTTATTGCGGCATTATTCACAATAGCAAAGACTTGGAACCAACCCAAATGTCCAACAATGATAGACTGGATTAAGAAAATGTGGCACGTATACACCATGGAATACTATGCAGCCATAAAAAATGATGAGTTCATGTCCTTTGTAGGGACATGGATGAAATTGGAAATCATCATTCTCAGTAAACTATCGCAAGAACAAGAATAAAACATTTTAAAAAAAGAAATAATATCAAGCATCTTATCTGACTAGAAATTAATGACAAGGAATTTTGGAAATTATACAAACACATGGAAATTACACAACATGCTACCGAATGACCAGTGAGTCAATTAATAAATTAAGAAGGAAATTGAAAATTTTCTTGAAACAAATAACAATAGAAACACAACATATCAAAACCTATGGAATACAGCAAATGCAGTACTAAATTGGAATTTTATAGCTATAAGTGCCTTCATCAAAAAAGAACAGAAACTTCAAATAAACAATCTAATGATGCATGTTAAATAACTAGAAAAACAAGAGCAAACCAAACCCAAAATTAGTAGAAGACAATAAATAATTAAACAAAGAAGACATAAATAGAAATTTTTAAACATACAAAAGATCAATGAAACAAAAAGTTGTGTTTGTTTTACAAAATTGTGCTAAACAAAATTGAAAAACCTTTAGCCAGACTAAGAAAAAAATACAGAAGATCCAAATAGATAAAATCAGAAATAAAAAAGGAGACATTACAATTGATACTACAGAAATTCAAAGAATTGTTAGTGGCTACTATGAGCAACTACATGCCAATAAATTGGAAAATCGAGAAGAAATGGACAAATTCCTACATACATGCAACCTACTCAGAATGAACCCAGAAGAAATCCAAAACCTGAACAGACCAATAATAACTAACGAGATCAAAGACGTAATAAGAAGTATCCTATGAAAGAAAAGCCTGGGACCCAATGGCTTTACTGCTAAATTCTACCAAATATTTAAAGAACTAATACCAATCCTACTCAAACTATCCTGAAAAATAGAGGAGAGAATACTTTCAAACTCATTCTATGAGGCCAGTATTAACCTTGATAAGAAAACCAGACAAAGACACATGCATATGCGCGTGCACACACACACACACAACTACAGGCCAATATCTCTGATGAGTATTCATGCAAACATCCTCAACAAAATACTAGCAAACTGAGTTCAATAATACATAGAAAGATCATCCTTCATGACCAAATGGGATTTATTCCAGGGATGCAAGGATGGTTCAACACACAAAAATTAATCAATGTGATACCTTATGTCAACAGAATGAAGGATGAAAGCCATATGATCATGTTAATGGATACTGGAAAAGCATTTGATAAAATTCAATATTCCTTCATGATAAAAACCCTACATAACCGGGAATAGAAGGAACATACCTCAAAATAATAAAAACCATATACTACAGACTCACAGCTAGTATCATATTGAATGGGCAAAAACTGAAAGCCTTTTCTCTAAGATCCGGAATGCAATAAGGATGTCCACTGTCACCACTGTTATTCAACATAGTACTGGAAGTCCTAGCTAGAGCAATCAGACAAGAGAAAGAAACAAATGGCATTTAAATTGGAAAGGAACAAGTCAAATTATTCTTGTTTTCAGATAATATTATCTTATATTTGGAAAAACTTAAAGACTCCACCAAAAATGTATTCGAAGTACTGAACAAATGCTGTGAAGTTGCAGGATACAAATTCAACATAAAAAAATAGCATTTCTATATGCCAATAGTGAACAATGTGAAAAAGAAATTTTAAAAATCTGATTTGCAATAGCCACATGTAAAATTTAATACATAGGCATTAATCAAAGTGAAAGATCGCTATAAGGGAAACTATAAAACATTGATAAAGGAAATTGAAGAGAACACCAAAAATGGAAAAAACTCCATGTTTATGGATTGGAATAACCAATATTGGTAAACGTCCATACTACATAAAGCAATTTACAGATTCCATACAATTTCTATCAAAATATCAATGACATTCTTCATAGAAATAGAAAAAAATTCTAAAATTGATATGGAACCACAAAAGACCCAGAGTAGCCAAAGCTATCCTGAGCCAAAAGAACAAAACTGGAGGAATCACATTACCTTACTTCAGATTATACTACACAGCTGTGGTAATCATAACATATTGGTACCAGCATAAAAACAGACACATAGGCCAATGGAACAGAATGTAGAGTCCAGAAACAAATTCATACACCTATAGTGAGCTCATCTTTGACAAAACTGCCAAGAACATACAATGGGGAAAGGACAGTGTCTTCAATAAATGGTGCTGGGAAAACTGGATATCCATATGCAGCAAAATGAAACTAGACTCCTATCTCTCACCATATAAAAAAAATCAAAATGGATTAAATACTTAAATCTAATAACTTAAACTATGAAACTACTAGAAGAAAACATTGGGGAAAATCTCCAGGACACTGGTCTGGGCAAAAATTTCATGAGTAACACCCAACAAGCACAGGCAACCAAAGCAAACATGGACAAATAGGATCACACCAAGTTAAAAAGCTTCTGCACAGCGAAGGATATAGTCAACAAAGTGAAGAGACAACCCACAGAATGGGAGAGAGTATTCGCAAATCTCCCATCTGACAAGAGATTAATAATCAGAATATATAATGAGCTCAAACAACTCTACGGGAAAAAAAATCTAACAATTAAAATGGGCAAAAATTTGAGTAAACATTTCTCAAAAGAAGACATACAAATGGCAAAGAGGCACATGAAAAGGTGCTCAGTCGGAGAAATGCAAATCAAAACTACAATGAGATAACATCTCATCCCACTTAAAATGGCTTATATGCAAAAAGGCAATAACAAATGCTCGCAAGGATATAAAGAAAAGGGAACCCTTGTGCGCTGTTGGTGGTAATGTAAATTGGTGCAACTATTACGGAGAACAGTTTGAAGGTTCCTTAAAAAGCTAAAAATTGAGCTACCATAGGATCCAACCATTCTACTGCTGGGTATATATCCAAAAGAAAGGAAATCAGTATGTCAAAGAGCTGTCTGTACTCCTATGTTTGTTGCAGCACTGTTTACAATAGCTAAGATTTGAAAGCAACCTGTGTCCATCAACAAATGAATAAAGAAAATGTGATACATATACACAATGGAGGACGATTCAGCCATAAAAAAGAGCAAGATCCAGTCACTTGCAACAGGGATGGAACTGGAGATCATTATGTTAAGTGAAATAAGCCAGGAACAGAAAGACAAACATCACCTGTTCTCACTTACTTGTGGGATCTAAAAATTAAAACATTGAACTCACAAACAGAGAGAGTAGTAGGATGGTTACCAGAGGCTGGGAAGGGAAGTGGGAGGGTGAAGTGAGGAGAGGAGTGGATGGTTTACAGGTACAAAAAAAATACAAGAATCAATAAAACCTACTATTTGATAACATAATAGGATGACTATAGTCAATAATAACTTAATTGTATATTTTAAAATAACTTAGAGTGTGATTGGATTGTTTATAACTCAAGGGTTAAATGCTTGAGGGGATGGATACCCCATTCTCCATAATGTGTTTATTTCACATTGCATGCCTGTATCAAATCATCATACCCCATAAATACACATATCTATTATGTATGCACAAAAATTTAAAATTTAAAGTTAAAAATAAAATATTATCTAGTTTAGACCAAACTCCTTTCTTTTTCCTGCTTTTTGTCAAAATTTTTGTAGTTATTCATATTTATTTTTCCCATATTAAAGTAAGATCAGCTCATCTATTGAAATTAAAAACACACTTGATATTGCAATAGGAATGCATTAAATATATACATTAATTGGATATAATTACATGTTTATCATGTGCCTGTCCCAGAACATGGATGCTTCCTATTTTATTTCAAGTCTACCTTGGAGAGCTTATTATTTTATATGTAAATAATGCATAACCATTTTATATTTATTTCTGTTTTATCTTTTATTTGCTATTATGTGTTATTTTTTCTTCACATATTTAGCTATTAATTACATATCTGAACTATTTATTTATATTTTTTGTTTGCTTATTATGAAAGTATCTTAATTTTTTGTAATTGTTTTGTTTTTGGAAATAAACTTGCAAATTGTTTTGATTCCTTTGTGATTTTCCAATAACAAAACATATCATTTGTATATTAGCAATAATATTATTTTTTTTTCAAAAATTTGTACCAATGATCATTTTTCTTTTCTAATCGTTTTGGTTAGTAGCTTTAGAACAATAATAAGAAATATTTTGTTTTTTGATGTTAATGTTTTCCCATTAAGAATGATGTTGACTTGTCATCTGAGATAAATATATTTTATCATGTTAAGTAAGTTCATCTGCTCTATTTTATTAAATTTTAAAAACACATATTAGATTTTGGACTGTCTTTTCAGCAAGTATGGAACATGGTTTTAGTTCACAAATTTGTTTTAGTATTTTTTAACACTTGCATTTCTTTTAGTTTTGTTTGTTTGTTTGTTTTTGTTTTTTGTTTTTTTGTTTTTTGTTTTTGAGACGGAGTCTTGCTTTCTCGGCCAGGCTGGAGTGCAATGGCATGATTTCAGCTCACTGCAACCTCTGCCTCCCAAGTTCAAGTGATTCTCCTGCCTCAGCCTCCCAAGTAGCTGGGACTATAGGTGCGTGTAACCATGCTCAGCTAATTTCTTGTATTTTTAGTAGAGACGGGGGTTTCACCATGTTAGCCAGGATGGTCTCGATCTCCTGACCTCGTGATCCACTCGCCTCGGCCTCCAAAAGTGCTGGGATTACCGGCGTGAGCCACCGGGCCGGGCTACCTGTATTTCTTTATAAGTAAAAGTGTTAATTCTCTTTTTAGTCGATTCTTTTGTGCTTTGATATCACATTTTGGGGGCTTTACAGAAATAATTAGAAGTTTTTTTTTTCTATGTTTGAGAATATTTTAAGTTATTTTGAAAATATTTGTTTTTCAAAACATTGTTATAACTTACTCTGACACAATGTGAGCTTCGTGCATTTTGGAAAACTGTGAGACCGAGCATCTTGACAAATTTCTCATTTTATTGTAAGTATAACAATTCTGGTCTTTGTTTTTCACTTAAACTTTGCCATTTTCTCTGTCCATAAAATATATTTAAAAAGGGTGAGCATATCAGTGTCTTAGGACTGTTTCGATATGGTTATGTTTATATTATCACTTCTTCCTTTTCTCACCTATGATTTCTCCTTTTAAAAAATAAATTCATTTTTATTGCTTTATTTTATTACTGTTCTTTTAAGAAGCAACTTTTGGATGTATTGGTTTAAGTGTTTTTCTCTTTTGCCATTTATTAACTCACTATTTTATTATTTTATTGCTTTAACAATTTTTTTCTAAATTTCTTAAGTTGGATGCATAATTCATTTATTTTCTTTCTTTTTGGAATTCTTTAATGCCACATTTGATTAAATTATTTAAGCTGAAAATTTTACTCTGAACACAGTCTTAATAAGTTTCATGTATTGGATATGCAGTATTTTCACTATTATAATTTACTGGATATTTTAAATTTCAATTTAGATTTTTTAAAATAAATAATTTTATATGGGAAAGCTTTTTAAATCAGCTTTTAATGCTTTTGTTTTCTGTGTGTGTTTTTTTTAATTTTAGGTATTTTTACACAGTGAAGGGAGGGCATAATCTAATATTACTTTTTGACATTTACTGAGGATTTCTTTCTAATACATGGGCAAATGCATTTCAAAATTTCATATTGCAAAAGTTCCATAGCCACTTGAAAGGACAGTCTATTCTCTCTTTTCAGGGTTTCGTATAAATCAATTATATTTACCCTTTTATTTGTGTAATTTAAATCTCACGTGCCAGCTTTCATTTTTTTTTTTTTTGTGCCTTGACTGTGATAAACTAAAAGGAATGAACCAAAATTTTACATTATTAGTAATTTTGTGTCTATTTCTCATTGTAACTGGGAGTTTTTTTCTTTATGAATGTTGATGGCATATTGTTTATTGAAAATGTATTAATAACTTTTGTATCTTTACTTCCCACATTATAAAGCATTCTACTTTGTCTCTTGTAATGCATTTTGCTCTGAATTAGATTTTGCCTCATGTGAATATGATTTCTGCCTTGTTTGTTTTTATTTTCTAGTGCACATTTGTCAATTCTTTTTTAATTCTAATTTTAAATTTCTGGGTACATGTGCAGGATGTGCAGGTTTGCTACATAGGTAAGTATGTGCCATGGTGGTTTGCTGCACTTATCAACCAATCACCTACGTATTAAACCCAGCATACATTAGCTATTATTCTTAATGCACTCCCTCCCCTCACCATACCCCCGAGAGGCCCCAGTGTGTGTTGTTCCTCTCCCTGTATCCACGTGTTTTCATTGTTCAGCTCCCACTTATAAGTGAGAACATGCAATGTTTGGTTTTCTGTTCCTGTGTTAGTTTGCTAAGGATAATGGTTTCCAGCTCCAGCCACATCCCTGCAAAGGACATGATCTCATTCTTTTCTATGGCTGCATAGTATTCCATGGTACTACATTTTCTTTACCTAGTCTATCATTAATGGGCATTTGGATTGATTTCATGTCTTTGCTATTGCTGCAAAGAATAGTGCTGCAAATGAACATATGTGTGCATGTATCTTTGTAATTCTATTTATATGCCTTTGGGTATATACCCAGTAAAGAGATTGCGGGGTCAAATGGTATTTCTGGTTCTAGATCTTTGAGGAATTACCACACCATCTTACACAATGGTTGAACTAATTTACATTCCCACCAACAGTGTAAAAGCATTCCTATTTCTGTGCAACCTCATCAGCATCTGTTGTTTCTTGACTTTAATAATCGCCATTCTGACTGTTGTGAGATGGTATCTTATTGTGGTTTTGATTTGCATTTCTCTAATGATCAGTGATGTTGAGCTTTTTTAAATGTTTCTTGGCCACATGAATATCTTCTTTTGAGTAGTGTCTGTTCATGTCCTTTGTCCACTTTTTAATGGGGTTGATTGTGGGTCTTTTTGTAAATTTGTTGAAGTTCCTTGTAGATTCTGGACATTAAACCTTTGTGGGATGGATAGATTGCAAACATTTTCTCCTATTCTGTAGGGTGCCTGTTCGCTCTGATGATAGTTTCTTTTGTTGTGTCAATTCTTTTTAACATCAATCTTTTTGAGACACTTTGCTTTAGACTGTCTTTCTGTTCATTCTAGTTGGGTTTCACTTTGTGATCCATTGAGTTTTTTTCTTTTAATAGGTAAGCATAGCCCATTTAGGTTAAATAATATCACAAGAATGTTTGATCTTAATTCTGTTGTACTTTTGAAATTTAGATGATATTCACATAACATTAAATTAACCATTTTAAAGTGAACAATATAGCGACATTTAGTAAATTCACAGTGTTGTACAATTCTATTGTACTTTGAAATATCTTTTGCAGCTTATTTGAGAATATGTTGTATAGATTTAATAAAATCCTTTACTGTGTTCCCCTTGCTCGTATATTTCTATCTTAAGAAGGTTTTTGTTTTTGTTATAATTTTACTTGATAACTAAAAGTTCTGATAATGCATGTAATCCTGCTTCCTACAAGTAGCAATATTATGTCCCACTACCCTAAAATACACGTGTTTATGTCTTACTTGTAGACAATGTTAACCAATTGTTTCTTGGTTAGGTGAAGTTGATCTTAAGAAAGTCTTATAGGAACATTTTACTACCTGGTTCTTATATGATCATGATTGATCTGTAACATTTTATCCTTGAAATACAGTTACATTTGGTATGAAATCTTTGGCTCCTTTTTTCCTGGAAGATTTCAGAGGTATTACTCTACCTTCCTTCATGTCTAAGGAAGACTAGGGCTAGCTTGGCTTTTTCACACTTCATAAGTGACTTTATCTATCTACCTGTTGCCTAAAGAATACCATCATTGGCCGGGCGCGGTGGCTCACGCCTGTAGTCCCAGCACTTTGGGAGGCCGAGGCGGGCGGATCACGAGGTCAGGAGATCGAGACCATCCCGGCTAAAACGGTGAAACCCCGTCTCTACTAAAAATACAAAAAATTAGCCGGGCGTCGTGGCGGGTGCCTGTAGTCCCAGCTACTCGGGAGGCTGAGGCAGGAGAATGGCGTGAACCCGGGAGGCGGAGCTTGCAGTGAGCCGAGATCATGCCACTGCGCTCCAGCCTGGGCGACAGAGCAAGACTCCGTCTCAAAAAAAAAAAAAAAAAAAAAAAAAGAATACCATCATTATCTTGGAAGTGCAGTATATTTACCAGGATGTGCCTTTGTTAATTTTTAGGTAAATTTTCATGGGAAACAGTATATCCATTCAAATCCTCTTTTATTTTAAAAAGTATATCTTTAAATATTTGTTCTGTTCAATCATTTCAGTTAACTTCATAGAAGAATAATTATGAATATTATAATATATTTTGTTGATCTCCATAGCTATTATTTTCTCTAATCCTTTAAAACTCCTTTATTATTTTCATTTTAGTTTGTCATCAATGTCTTTAATTGTTTTCTACAGTGTTTATTCTCACTGTGATCCTCAAAATTTGTCCTGCTTTTTGTGATGGCTTTATATTTTTTCCTTTTACTTCTTTCCTGAATTATGCCAATTTCTTTTTATTTCCTGCTGCTATCATATCATTTTTCTCCTTGAGTACTTACATTTTTGTTTTATACACTTGTTTTATAGAATGTTTAGTTTATTTCTGTATTTTAATAATAAGCAAAGTCTTGGCAAATGAAAATTTTTACTTGTTCCATGAGAACACTTCTCTGTTGTTTGTTTCCAGCTGAATGTAACAGTAAAACCCCAAAGGACTGTAGCACAAATAAAATTTATCCCCAATTCATGTACAAACAAACAAAAGGAGATTGGTATCCGGTAGCCTGGAGCTGGTGAGTGCCCACAAAATTACCTACGATCATTCTGACTCATTGTATCTCATTCTGGCTAGAAATTCAACTGTGGAGGATGAGGGGGAGAAGAAAGTATCACTTTCTTTTCAAGTAATTCTTCAAAATTCCACCTAACACTTCTGCTTATATATCTCTTTGACCCAAACTTAGTCAAGGAGCCATGTGTATCTTTAAAAGAAACTGGGAGACATAGTTTCTCAGCTGGATGGGCCATGACAACTATAAATTAGGATTCTTTTGCTCACAAAACGGATGAAATTAGGTTTAGGGGACCGCGACAGAAGTTGAAAAGCAACAGCTGCCACAACATCCTTCATCTTCGTTTTCTTTTTCTGTTTCTCCCACTACCCTGCCTTTTAAACTTATTCTTTATTTCAATAAGTTTTTTCCTTATTGTAGTTTTCTTGTTGTTGTGTATTTTTCTGGATTTGCTATTTCAGAATTTTCATGTGAGACACGGGATACATCCCATTACCATGATCTACCTGAGGATTGTTTAGCTGTGACTTCTCTACAACCAACAAGAATAAGTAGCCATGGATTTTTCTTTTTCCTGATAGAAAGACTACACTCTGTCATGCTGCTCTTCATATTGCACAGTGTGGACTTCGGTTTTACACTTCAGGGTAGGCCTCTCAGTTTAAATAGTGGTATTCTTACTGGTTCTTCCTGAAATCTACAGTCAAAGCCAACTTTTCCAGTGGGATCCTTGTTTCCTCCACTTTCTTTCAGGGGTCCACCTGTTCTATTTCTATTCTTTTGAGCATCATTCCAGCTATTTGAGAATCTGGAGTTTTCGTTGACTTCTAGTTTTCCCCAAAAATAGATTCTATTTATTTATTCAGATTTTATAATTTTGTTTCACTTCTCCTTGTTGGTTGTGAATAATTTCCAGAAAGAGAATGATATTTAGTAACTATATTCAAATGAAGGCCCAAACCATTACTTTTTACAATCTATCCTATAATTGTTTTGTTACAGTGATATCAAGCATTTTCTTGACTTTGACAATGACTTTGCCTATATATTTACAGTTTGCTGGAACCCTTTTAATTCTTCATCATTTCCCAACTTGCTGTTGTGACACTGTTTTAACAATCAGTGAAGTTTTGCAAATTGGCTCAACGACCCCTGTGTTATTATCCATTGGAACCAAATATTTAAATTCATTAAAAGCAGGTTTCCTCTCAATTTTTTGACTAACTTGGATTTCAATTTCTGTTTTAAAATATTTGTTCTATTCTTTAAATTCTATTCTGATGTTTCTACTCTATTCTAATATCTTTGCCAGAAAAAAAGGGCAGAAGCAAAGAAGAGAGAGGTACTCATTTCTTTCTATCATCTATCAACACTGTTATTTCCCCATGCAGCACACTACTCCTGTCTGTGAAGAAGAAAAGAAGTACTGATTATAAAACAGAGACCTAGCTTTTTTTTTTTTTTTTTTTGACATTCTCCCATTGTTTTCTAGGCACTCATAAAATATACAGCTTGGAATCTGCTATCTTCCCTAAGTGCTTATTCATTTTTAATAAATGCAATAATGAGTATGGTGATTTAATATTTTGTACAGATGAATGAATTTCTCCCTTTATCTCAACATTCTTACCCTAGACCTTTAATTGCACAATCTTTATTATTCATTCTCTTTACCATACCTCCCACTGTCATCCAGCCTCTAACACACTGGGATTCTTTCTGGACATCAATGCTTTAAGACTCTATCTGAAACTATAATTCCTGGTAGTAACCACATTTAAGCTTCTGTCTGCTATCTAAATTGGAGCTCCAGACTACTCATGTCTGAATCATTTATTTGTATCCTCATAAGGCTATTATGTTGCTTAACTCATGTTGCTAAACATCATCATCTTGGCTATCTTTTGCTTTACCTCAGAACTTCCTAGTTTTATTCTCTTCTGTCCATATTAAATTTTTAAATTGCAAAAACAACCATTTCTTCTAACACATGTTTAGATGGAAGTAAACATGTGAAACAGCTTTATGTTATTTTAAGTATATATCCCAAATTATATCCATGAGCATGTTTAGATTTCCTGTCTCATCACAGTTTTTAAGAAAGGAGAGAAGGAATGGCCACTACCTCAACAAGGAGAGCAATATAGTGCAGAGGAAAGTTCTGAACAGACAGGAAGGAAAAGCAAAAGCCTGTGCCTTCTGGCTAAGTGATTTATGATAAGATGGCAGAGACAGAGAGATGGGAGACAGAAAAACCAGGTCTCATTGCCTCTGCAGATATCAGCTTGGAAAGATGGAAACATGTTCAGTATGTTAGGGAGATGCTGGGGAAGGGTGCTTTCCCCTAAATTCAGATACAGAATTTGGTGTGGAAAGCTCTGCATCTGATAGTGTTCAGTCAACATAAGGCAACTTCCAAAGAGTTTAGGCAGAGAGAGTGTCACTCTTGCACAGCTGAGCCTTCCTCAGTTCCCCACAAGTCTACAATTAGAGAAGTAAAACTAATTGAGTTGGTGTTGATCACTACTCCCATTCTAAAACCAGAATGAAGTAACATGTTTCCTGCTCATGCAAGAAACATTTCATCTGACATTCCCGCTGACTTCCTGACTTCCTGATTTTTTTTTCTATTGCAAAATGTGAGTTCCACTCTGTTTTTACTTCTGTTGTTTCAAATAACTCAGCAAATAATTCATTTCATTCTTGTTCTGATGAATTGCATTTGTGTGCCACTTTCTCTAGCTTATCAACAACATGCTTAATTATGAGAGTAAGAATCGAAAATCATGTTACAAGTTTTTAGTTTAAATATTTAATAAGATCTTACAAGATACCCAGGAAAAAAAAAAAAACAAAGATCTCACCTACAGAGCTCAAAGATATCGTATTCCCCTTCGGTTGGCACTACCATAGTCACAGCTTTGGGGCACCTATATTACCTCCTGGTAAAAAGAGTGATTGTGGAGTCAGGCACTAGAGTTCAAATCCTGGCCCCACTACATCCTGTCTGGGTCACCGTGGGCTAATTCCTTACCCTCTCTTACCTTCAGTTATTCTGTTTGAAAAAAGACCGTCTTCCTCTCGAGATTGTTATGATACCTATTGCAATATTAATTGAAATAATGTACATAAAACCCTAGGAACATACCTGACACAAAGTGAGGATGCAGAAATATTAGCTATTATTAACAGAGTATGAGTTGGTTTGTTAAACCCATAGTAGAGAAAAGAAACTTTCTTGAGCTTCTGAAGAGGGATTTCACTGCTGGATAAACACCAAAACAGTTTTATCAATATTACAAATAATAGAACACGAATACATAGATTTGGCTTGTGAACCTTCATTTTAGAAATAAAATAATTTTCTTTTAGGTACTGCCAAATTCACTTAAGTTCTCCTTTCATCACATTTATAAGAACTCAAAAAAAAAAATCTCATGGCTTCACATCCCCTGCCCCCATACTCATTGTTGAGAGCTCATTTCTCTTATATACTTGCTTTTGGGTAAACACTGCTTTGCCCTCACCCTCGCCCTGTCACTTATAAGCACTTACACACAAAATGGCTTGCTGTCAACACAGGCACACCCATATTAGCAGTTTGAACAGCCACTGTGAAACAGCAAATGGAAATTGGGGACATTCTGGAGTCTTTCACGTACATATTACAAAGGAAACCATCTATGTGTTAGCTCACAGTCAGGTTGGCTTTGTTTTGTGTCTTCAATTTCATATGAAGATAATAGAAGGAACTTAGATCTCCAAAGCATGCATCATGAACAATGGTTAACTTTTAATTAAAAGAAATTATAAACTTCATGAGTACTGGAATGCAAATAATAGAAATACAAGTAGATGTTTCAGTACCAACCAGAATTTATTGTAATCCTTGGTAAGAATGCACTTCAGATTTCTTGTGCAATAGCTAGATAGCTTACAGAGAGCAGGGAGCTCATATTACATCCAAGAGGCGGGAGTGGGGGGGTTAACTAATTTATTTTCATTTCCAAAGTGATTGTTACCACGAAGATAGTTTCAGATGAGAAATCAAAAGGCAGCAGACCGGTTCTTACCGTGAATTCACCCCTTAACGTCTTGGAGTCTCTGTTACTGTAGATTTAAAATGAGCATGAGGCTATTTTCTTCGTCCACCTCATAGGGTTGTTCAGGATCTCTAGTTGGAAAATGGTCATGAAATGCATTGTAAAACTGCTGAGTTGCTATATTAATATGTACATCTATGTAACTATTAGGATAAAATTTCCCAATTTTATATTTAGCTGAAAAATATAAATTATTTTTAAAAGGAATGAATTGAGTATTTTAGTCCATATTTTAAAAATGAGAAAAAAATAAGCTATGGAGATTTCTAAGACCAAAGATTTCCAACTTTATGTGTATTGATACTGTTCAGAACAGAGAGGATTAGGACCTAGAGATGTAATAATGTTTTCCTACCTGTAGTTTCTTTCTTTCTGTCTTTCTTTTTTTTTTTTTTTTTTGAGATGGAGTCTCACTCTGTCGCCCAGGCTGGAATACAGTGGTGCAGTCTTGGCTCACTGCAACCTCTGCCTTCTGGGTTCTCCTGCCTCAGCCTCCTGAGTAGCTGGGATTACAGGTGCATGCCACCATGCCTGCCTAATTTTTTTGTATTTTTAGTAGAGATGGGGGTTTCTCCATGTTGGTCAGGCTGGTCTCGAATTCCTGACCTGATGATCCACCTGCCTCGGCCTCCCAAAGTGCTGGGATTACAGGCGTGAGCCACCGCGCCCGGCCTCCTACCTGTAGTTTCTCATTCAGCTCTTTCCCTGCTATGGATTATCCTAAATGCTGCTAACAGATCATCCTATCATTGCCTTAATCAATCACTTATGTTCTATATCTCTATGATCTACCATGCCTGCTTTCAAAAATCCTTCATAATCTAATCCTAATCTATTCAACCTCGCGTCTCTTTATTTTCAACATGTACTCTCTGTTCTCGCCAGTTACACTTTATCTTAGCCCAAACTCAAGCTATAACCATTTCTACCCCTTAATTATGAAATGTGCATTTTTTAGTTTTTAGATTCACCGCATATAGCAAATACTACTCAATATTAGCAGGATCTTCCAAAATTCTTGTTCATTTCTCTGCTAGATTGACAGCACCTATTTTCTCAGAATCATTTCTGTCACTACCTAATGAGGTCATTGTCAATTTGTCAATCACTGTGTTTTAAAAACATAGATTTCAAATTTAGAGAAAGCTTTGTACAATTAATGCTGCAAAATGACGAGATGTATTTTGGACCAAATTCATTGCACCAGTGACATTATTCTTTTCTAGAGATATTTTAATCATCCTGGATAAATAAGGAGTTCTTATTACAAATAACCCTGATGGCAATCATCTTCACTTTCCACATTAATATTTGTTGATAAAGACAATATTTGTAAAGCTAAACAAAATAAGTCACTATAGGGTAATAGAAAGAATTTGAAATTGCACAAAAGCATGTGTTCAAGTCTTGGTTCTATCTGTAACAAGGTATTTATATTGCCTAGATGTATTAATCTAAAATTGGAAGAATACTAATTTTATTCAACTTTAGTATATAATATGTGATACATATGTGATGAAATACATGCTAAACCACAAAACACTGTATGGCACCTAGTACATGAGCAACAAGTGGTGACAACTTACTCAAAAATCTTGAATGTCAAATTTTAATCTCAGTTTTCATAACACCTGGGAGTCCTCTCCTTTGTGGAGAAGACAGCCTCCATTTTTAAAATTCTGTAAAAATAATACAGGCTCACAGTTTTAAAACATCTTAAAAAACATACAGTGCAACTGTTTAGTTCCTGACATCTCAGATAATTTGGAGGAAGAGACTATTCTTAATAAACACATCATGTGGTAACCGCATGTCAAATGTGTTCTTAGCAAGCTATAGTCATGTATTTAGTTTCTTGTATTTCTTATGCTTTGCATTTCTAGCTAAAGCCATCCTCAGTTAATGCTAATATTGAGTTTCTTGAACTTTAATATGAGTGATCCAGCACTCAAAATTTACCCCCACTAAGGAATTTACCAAGTCAGCATACCACAGAAATACTCTAGTAAGCAAGTGTTACTATGTTACCTATACCTGGTGTATTAGTTTCTTATTTACTGCCATAACAAATAACCACAAATATAATGGCTTAAAACAACCCTAATATATTATCTTATAGTTCTATACATTTGAAGTTTGAGATAGATCTTGCTAAAATAGGGTGAAGTTTGGCATATATCTCACTATAGGTGTGAAGTTTGGCCTAGATCTCGTTACAATCAAAGTGTTAGCAAAGCTGTATTCCTTCTGGAAGCTCTAAGGGAGAATCTATTCTGTATTTTTTCCAGCTTTCATTAGTTAACCACATTCCTTAGATTCTCACTCCTTTCCTCCATTTTCAAAGCCAGCAACATAGCAATTCTTTGACCCCGCTTCCACCATCACATCGAATATCCCAGGATAAAAACTAGAAGGAAGCTATCTGAGAAACCACTTTGCCATGTGTGCATTCATCTCACAGAGTTAAAACTTACTTTTCTTTCAGCAGTTTGGAAACCTCGTTTTTGTAGAATCTGCAAAGGGATATTTGGGAGTGCATTGAGGCCCATGGTAAAAAGGAAACATCTTCAGAAAAAAAACAAAAAAGAAACATTCTGAGAAACTGCTTTGTGATGTGTACATTCATCTCACAGAGTTAAACCTTTCTTTGGATTCAGCAGTTTGGAAACACTCTTTTTGTCCATTCTGCCAATTGACATTTGGGTGCTCATTGAGGCCTATGGCGAAAAAGAGAGTATAACATTAAAAAATTAAATCGCAGATTCTACAAAAACAGTGTTTCCAAACTGCTGAATGAAAAGAAAGGTTTAACTCTGTGAGATGAATACACACATCACAAAGCAGTTTCTCAGAGAGCTTCACCTCTTTCTCTTACCCTCTCTTCTGCCTTCTTCCACTTTCAAGACACTTATGAGTACATTGGGTCCACCCTGGATAGCCCAGGATAACCTATTTTAAAGTCAGATATTTGGCAACTGTAATTCCTCTACGCCTTAATTTTCTTTTGCCGTGTAACCCAACATATTCAGTTTCTGGAGTTTTGGACGTAGACATCTTCTCAAGGCCACTACTCTATTTCACACACCTGGTAATGGAAGTGTGTTTAGGTCTACCCATAAACAACATATGGCTTAAAGGACATCAGGAGTTGAGGTCACCAGTAGTATTAGGAAGATTCCCTTCTGGCCAGGTTCTGCAGCTTTAAGTATAAACTAAACAGTTATCCTATTCCTTTCCATATTTGCTACAAAAGGAATGTTCCCTATCAAAAAGCACTTACCTTACCCTGGCCATATCCTTTTAAAAATATGCCCCCAAAGAATATTTTTTAGGATCTTCATAGTGTGGTTTTAAATAAACCCAACAAAATAGTATAGAAAGATTTTCACTGTTGCCTTAAACAATCCAGAAATGGACCTGTAAGTTGTTTCTAATGCTAAGTAGGGCATAAGTCATCATGATTGTATTTTCCATGTTCTTGATACAGAAGTAGTATTAAAATTATCATCAATTTCAAAAATTATTTGTGTTGAAACCATTCTTAATTTTTGTTTAAAAATCTACCCTACTATATATTTGATGGTGCTTGAAAAGACCAAAGAAGAAAAAACAGACACTTGATGTCTGGAAAGAAACCACAAAAAGATTAACAGGCTCTTCATAAAATAAAATACCATATTTGAGAAAGACTATTAAAAGCAACTCATAATGCAGGCATAAATAGTGGGTCTTGGGAGAGTTCTGATATAGTTAACCTACAAGGGCTGAGAGCTCAAGACATTAGGCCATGTTTGATACTGGTTGGATAAAATTGGATTGACATAGAGCAGGAAGTCTCAAAGAGAAAAGGAAGATGTTAAGAAGCAATTAATTTCTCTGCTCTGATAAGCAGTCAAGAGCTGGAAAGACAATTTCCCAGGTAAATACATTTTTAGTTAAAAAGTTCTTTGATATCTAATTGAAATAATAGCTACTTTGAGTTGAAATGCATTATTCATACCAATCTGTCCATTTAGTAATAGCTACCCAAGAAGTGAAAATAATTATTTTAAATAATAAAAATACCAACAGTATTTAGTAATTCTATAATAATACAATTATACCATTCTACTGCGTGTTTCAAATTAACTGACATTGGTGCTATCATCCCCAAGTTTATAGTTTGAATAATTTGACACTAGTATGGACATTCATATGAAAAACATGAAGCTTAATCATGTCTCCAGAGATAATGTACCATGAAGAACACAATTCAATATAAATAATAAATACATGCTTGCACATTCCAGGCTGCAAAAACAGTCACACTCCTACTAACTTAATTCAAGGTGTATTACTGCAGAAAAGAAGATTAAGAAACAGCCTTTGAAGCCACACATCCAGATGTCATAAAACTTTGAAACATCATTCAGATTAATATAGTCATTCTAGCAAACCTCTAAACCCAGAAAACTCCCAGAAAGACCTCTCCTCACTCCTTACCCAAGTGCTACCACCATAATGTTGATCCAAGTGTCATCTGCCTTTGCTTCTGGATACCTTTGTTTTGTCCTACACTGCTATCTTCCCAATGGCTTGTAGTGCCTTCTGTTTGCATCTTAAATTTTTCCTTAATCTTTCTGTGTCTTTCATTCATGCTTTCCAAAAGGAAAAGAATTTGGGTGTTTGAATGTTACATCCAGTAAAGATGTTCTCTTTTGAGCAAAGCCCATTTCAAGAGCCTCTGCTGTATGCCTTTAGGTCCAATCCACTGGGTCCAGAGAGTAGACTCATGTGACACAAAAAAGTAAAAGTGAAAAGTAATTGCTGTGGCTTTTTTTCCTCTCTAACAGAGGGTTATAAACATGACAGAAACTCAGACAGCCTTATCTTTTTTACATATAATAAATATGCTATGAAATTTGGGGAATTGTAATAACCTAGAATTTCAGAATCCCTAGAATGATGACCCTTAACACTTAATGTTCACATCCTCACCGGGTGGAAGCATGACACAATGTGAAGTGGAGTGTGTGATGGGGGGGCGGGTATTATTAATTCACTCATCCATTATTGGGCATTTATTAATCTGAGTGCTATTCTTTATGCTGAGAATATAGTGATGTACTAGGTACACATTTTCCAATCTCGCAGAAAGCTTGCAATCTAGTGTAAGAGATGGCCCTTACAACTAAATAAATAATAATAATGTCAGATGTAGTAAGTGCTATAAGTGCTACTTTCATAAGTTGCCACCATCAAACATATCTAAGCCATCTTCATCTGTATCTGTTTTCCCTCCTGTTACCATGGATCAATGACTGATACTCCTACTAGGACCAATTCTTCTACTTGTCCACTGGAGTCCACCCTCAGCTCAAGGTTACTGCTACTGCAGATCTCCCTTTACTCTCCTGACTCATCTCCCTCTCAGTTTGAGTATCCTCATCAGTATTAAAGGTGCTATTACTTTTCCTCACCTTACAGAAACAAATCTCTTAATCCCACATCCTTTTCCAGCTACAGCCCAACTTCTATGCTCCAATTTACAATAAAATTCTTCCAAAGGTTGGGATATATTCACTGTTTCTAATTTCTCTTTTCTCATTCTATCTTGCTCTCCAGCCAAGCTATTTACCATTTTATGAAACAGTGCTTGTGAGGGTCACCAATGGCCTCCAACTTGCCACAATATAGGGTCAATTTCAATTTCCTTTTATTTTCCTTATCAGCAATATTTCTCATAATTGATTGCTTTTCCTCTAAAACATTTTCTTCGTTTTGCCTCTGGCACACAAACTTCTTTTGTTTCTTCATACTCTAGACCAACCATTTCTCTGATTAAGATGAAGGATATCTCAGTTATTTGTGAGCCAACTAAATCTTTGTTCGTATGTTTGCTTATAGACTTATTTTTTTCCCTGAATCACCATGACTTCAACCCCAAAGAAAAAAAGTACATGTATAGATACATAGATGCATCTTAGTGAGCTATCTAGACTTCACAAATGATTGTGTAGGGAAAACACAGAAAATTGATAGCAGAGCCAAAACAAATATATTAGAAGTTTTTATTATATCATTTGGTTTCCCCAAATCTCTTTCATCTGTCCAGCCACATGAGCTTTATGTTTTTGTTTCTTTGGATTTATTTGTGGGGCTTTTTTTAAACTCTCTTCCTCTCTTTCCTCAATCCTTTTGTTTACTCTTCTTTTTCCCTTGATTCCCTCCAAAATTTACATTTTCTCTCTTCTCTATTACACAGATAAATCAAGTCCTCTTGGCCTCTGCCTCCAAAACTTACATCTCCATGCCCCATCAATTTGCACTTTTTTAAAAAATATGAAATGAATTAGAAATTTATACTCATAGAAGACAGTTTACCAATCACATTTTGCTATTTCAAAACGTTTTTAGTGGCTCACAAGATTAATGAGGCTTTCAGAATGTTGCCTATAACAAGAGGATGCACAGTAACAGTGCTTTAAAGAAGGTATAAATTTATTTTCTTTTCTTATAAGAGAAACTTCTTATATTAATCCCAGGCTGGTAGGGCATGACACAGTTATAAAAAAAATAATCTCCCAAATCTTATTGTTCTGCCATCCTTTCCTTGGTGCATGGTTCCCATCCCATGTTTCAACACGGTTACTCAAAATGCAGACATCTGTATTTCAATCAGCAGAAAGGAGAAAGCACCAAAAGAAAAGCATGACTTCTCCATCCGTCTTTAAGAATGCTTCCAAGAAATTGCACATACAACTTCTACTTAATTCCTTTTGCCAATATTTCTTATTTTGCCATACAATAAGCTTCAAAGGAACCTGGAAAATTATTCTGAGCAATCATGAGTCCAGTTAAAATCTGAAGTTCTATTATCAAAAAAGAAAGGGAAAATGGATATTTAGGGATAATGAACTTACTCCCTGACTGTTCACTATGCACCCACAATGATTTATTAATCTTTCTGTTAAAAATGCATGATTTCCTCCACAGGCAGTCTGGTGAGTGAAATTTTCTGCAGCCTCTCTATCGCTATCCAATGTATCTATCTACCCATCTATTCATTCATCTATCAAGTTAGCTAACTATTTATCAATTTTTAAACTGCGTCACTGCTTCCTGATTTCTCTGAGCCAATCCAATTCTAAGATTTTTTTAAAAAAATTATCAACAGCTGGCAACATTGTTTATAATGAATGTAAGAGCAATATAGACATTAAAAGTGTAATGGGTGTTATAGTTGCTTGACACATAGAATTAATCAACAAAGCTTTGAAATTGTATGGCGAAAGCCATGGACTCTTTGTTGCTATATAATGTGGTTGGTACTAGTCATATAAAGGCTTTTGATGAAGCCAAAGCAGTGCATATGAATCTGATGAAGAAATATAAGAATATCTCATCAGTACCAGAGCAGTTTCTTGATGAGTGGCATCTATTTACAATATTTCTGATTTTTAGCTGTGTAAAGAAATGGATTGATCTCCATTATTACTTACAAATTTCATATCTCTTTTTATTTGCATCAAAATGTGAGTAATTGGAAGTACAGATCATGGTTTCAGAGTATGGAAATTTTTCTTAAAATTAGCAAGCAAGAGCTGAAAACCTTGCTTATATCTAGCTCATTTAAAATAATAAATACATCGTTATAGCTGGATGCCTTACATGCTATAATTCCAAACCATAAAACATCCATATAAATGCTAAAGAATGAAGGATATGAGTGATATTAGTCTGAGTTCAGACACTGCAAGTATTATCAACGGAAGTGCTAGAGGTACTAAAACTGATGGCAAGAAGTTGAACTGTTTTAGGGATTATATCAAAGAGATGTAGAGAATGAGGACAGGATGTCCTACAAGGTAAGTGAAAAAGTCAGAGTATTCAAAATTGTGCCAGTCTGCGCTCGTGGCAAGAGGAGTAGAAAAGCTTTTTCAAGGTTTCAAAGATTTATTTACCCAGGTATTTTACAAGGCAGGATTTTAACTAGCATACCTTTTCAGAAAATTTATGATGAACTAAAGACTGAGAGTTAGTTTTAAAACATAATTCAGAAATACAATAAATACAAATCCCAAAGAAATGTTAAGAAAGAGAAACCTATTCCTGCTGATTTTTTAAATTACCATAAACAATTTTTGTAAGTTTATTTAAAAAAAAATTATATAGATAGCTGTTATTTGTATAAATCTATATATAATCTGTTATATATAAAAAGATATCTGTTATTTATGTAAATATATGTTATTTATATATAGAAATAGATACCTGTTATTTATATAAGTAGCATTAAATTCTTAAAGTTTAATTTTATTTCCAATGGAATGCAATTATCAATCTTTTCCCTCTAATTAATTAATAATATAGCATTCATTGTGTAGTCTCTAACACCAGCAAAGTAACTATTTGAATTGTCTTTATTAAATAGGAGAGTTACCAATTCATAGCCTTCCTGTTCGCCCTTCCATTGATGATGAATGACACTACTGATATTAGCAAATAATTTGTCTTAAAACTTTGCATACAAGAAATGTGGCTTTTATAATTGATGTATAAGAATCATTCTCTCCTCATTCTGCTGCAATTCTTCATCTAGTATTTCAGCGCAGGAGCTTCCACTGATTGAACTAAATGGGAAGAGAATTTCTACCATCTTTTCCAATTCACTCCTTCCTAAAGAAAGAGAGCCTTTGTAATTGGAAAAGAATCGAGCATACAGAGTTCTGCCATTCACCTTTTTGTTTTGGACCTGCTAGCCTGCATAAAGGCCACATTTGGCTCAATTCTTGATGCAACGTGATAAGTACAATGATACCATGACCCAAAACTTTCTTCTAGAAATAGGTATGGGGGAATCCATTTTTCTCTTTCTGTCTACTATCTGACCTACATAGGTGTAAGACAACTGCTTTTAGTACCCCCAAGATAGAGTATTGCTGTCACTAAAAAGCCTGAAATGTCTCCATAACTAAACTACATTGGATATGCCATTATTAGTAGTACTGTTTTCTTTAGTGGCCAAATGAAGAATCAAAGACTTTAAGATCTACTCATAATTTATTTCATTGAAGTTATTTCTTATATTATGTACATCATCACAAACATTTCCTTTCTCTCCCCTTTCCTCGCTAATTTATGAAAAAGCAATCCAGTATGGTAAAAAATTTTAATTTATTCCCTAAATTATAGGACATGAAGGTGTAATTGTGACAGAGATAGAGCAGCTAGGCAGGAAAAAGAAATAAAAGACATTCAAATGAAAAAGAAGTAAAATTGCCCATTTGCTGATGATATGATTTTATATATAGAAAATCCTAAAGGTTCCATTAAGACACTATTAGAATGAATAAACAAATTCAGTAAAGCTGCATGATACAAAATCAACCTACAAAACTTAGTTGTATTTCTGTACACTAACAATCTGAAAACTACAAATCATTTATGCAAAAAAAGAAGATACAAACAAATGGAAAGATATTCTATGTTCACAGATAGGCAGATTTAATATTATGAAAATGTTCATACTACTCAAAGAGTAGTATGGAATCTGGAAGGATTCAATGCAACCGCTGTCAAATTCCAATGGCATTTTTTACAGAAAGTTTTTTTTTTAACTATTCTGCAATTCATATGGAAACACAAAAGACTAGGAATAGCCAAATTAGGAAGAAGAACAAAGTGGTGAGGCCTCACATTTCCTAGCTTCAAAACATATTACAAAGCTACAATAATCAAAACAGTATGATGCTGTCACAAAGACAGTTATATAGACCAATGGAACACAATAAGGAGCCCTGAAATAAACCCACACATATAAAGTCAGCTGATCTCCAACAAGAGTGCCAAGAATACACATTGGAAAAAGGATAGTGTCTTTAACAGATGGTATAGAAAACTGGATATCCATATAAAAAAGAATGAAATTCAGTTCTTATTTTACACCGTACACAAACATCAACCCAAAATGAGTTAAAGACTTAAACATAAGATCTGAACCTGTACAACTACTAAAAGAAAAGATGAAAACGTTCATGACGTTGGTCTTGGTAATGGTTTCATGGACATGACACCAAAAGTACAGTCAACAAAACCAAAAATAAACAAGTGAGGCTTCATCAAACTAAAAATCTCTACACAGGAAAGAAAATAATTAACAGAATGAATAGGCAACTTAGGAAATGGAAGAAAATATTTGCAAAATATATAACTGATAAGGGGTTAATCTATAAAATATATAAGGAATTTATACAACTCAATAACAAAATCACTAATAATCTGATTTTAAAATGGGCTAATAACTTGAATAGACATTTCTCAAAAAAAGACAAACAAATGCCAAAAAGATATATTTTAAAATGCAGCAATTCCACTTCTGGTTATTTATCCAAAATAAAAATAAAAATCAGGATCCTGAAGAGATATTAGCACTCCCATGTTCATTACAATACTATTTATAGTAGCTAAGTTGTAAAAAACAACCTAAATTTCCATTGACAGATTAATGGATAAAGAAGATGTGGTAGGATATATACACAGTGGAATATTATACAGCCTTAAAAAGGAAGGAAAATCTGTAATATGTGGCAACATAGATGAATTATGCTTATTGAAATAAGCCAGTCACAGAAGGAACACTTCATGATTCCACCTGCACATAGTACCTAAAATAGTCAAATTTATAATATGAAAGTATGGAATGGTGGTTGCCAGGGATGGGGGAAGGGAGAAATGGAGAATTAGTGATATGGTTTGGCTCTGTGTCCCCACCCAAATCTCATCGGAATTGTGTTCCCATAGTTCCCACACATTGTGGGAGGGACCTGATGGGAGATAATTTGAATCATGGGGGTGGTTTCCCCCATACTGTTCTTGTGGTAGTGAATAAGTCTCACAAGATCTGATGGTTTTATCAAGGTTTTCCACTTTTACATCTTCCTCATTTTCTCTTGCCACAGCCATGTAAGAAGTGCCTTTCGCCTCCCACCATGATTCTGAGACCTCCCCAGTCATGTGGAACCGTAAGTCCAATTAAACCTCTTTTTCTTCACAGTCTCAGGTATGTCTTTATCAGCAGCATGATACAGTTACTAATCAACAGACAAAGTTTCAGTTAAGCAAGATGAATAAGCTCCAGAGAGCTGCTGTTCACCGTTGTGCCTATAGTCAACAATAATGTACACTTAAAAATTTAAAAAGGTAGGTCTCATTTTAAGTGTTCTTACCACAATAAAATAAAATTTTGAAAAATAAATTAAAATTACTGTGTAAAAAATAGTGAACATCACTCCAAGATAGACACAGAGATATAATATTTCCTATTGGGAATAATGTAAGTTACATGAGGGAGTTGCATTATGTTACATAAGAAGGTTCATTTACTTTTATATTTGTCATTCTTGGTGTTAGAAACTTTGATAGAAGTGTATGTGTGAATACTGAGCTAAAAGGGGGTTGACTGTGTTATAAAGTGGAGCACATCCATTTACATTCTCTTTCATGCTTTCCTTTGCATGATCGGGGCTGATTGACTAATCTTCCCTTACAAATGGAATTCTAGATGTTCTTTGGTTTTGCCAATGAGATTTACTCACGCAATATTGGGAAAGTAAAAATGAGATGGAGACAATCTTACTGTGGCTTCCACAGGTAAAAACTATGCCATGATAGCACAAGTGCGTGATTGCATGTGAGGCAGTCACGTCAGCAATAGTAGCAGAAGCACCAATCATAGCTTCCTCACCTCTAGATTATAACTACAGTTGTGATCTGTAAACCAAGGGTCCTTGGTTGTTCTTGTCCAGACTTGCATTTCTTCTACTTTTTCAGCAATTTTGTGAGCATCATTATCCATTCTATTCTACTTCTTTCTTCTTAAAACACCTAATGTGCTTTCTATTTCTTACATGTAACATTGCTGAACACGCAATGACACCAGCTATTTGACACTGAGGAAATCTTCACGGTAAAATTGACTATGACATATTACAATGTTTTGTGAAAATTAGACATAATGTGCATAAAGTACTGACCTCTTCTAATAAATATCCAATAAATAATTGCTATTTTCACTAACACTTATTAACTGCTTGAAGATAAAGTATGTGATCATTAGCTTTATTATATTGCCAGATCCAGGAGAATATTGCAGATAACCATGTTTTTAGTAGTATAGCGTATTTTGCAAATTACAATTAAACAATTTTGTGGTTCCCTGGAATATATTAAGAAGATATTTTCCTTGAGGTTTGTGTAATAATTTTCTGTCCCTCTACATATGATACAATCCTTCCAATTGAAAATCAGGTTAGAGAGATTATAATTTTTTCTGTTTTCACAGGGATTACTGTTCAACTGTCCTTTGTTCACAAGAAGGTTCTAACTGAGAGAAAAAGAAGATGAAAGCCTATTATGCTATTCATATATTTGGAAATTTTCCCTCTGGTAATTTATACAACATAGATTTGTCACATTAAATGAAAATGTCATTGAATTTATGCTTTGATTGTGTGTGTGTGTGTGTGTGTGTGTTGGATTCCCATAAAAGGAGAGATTTTTTAAATACATTCCTGTGCACTGTATTAAAATATGATGTTGAAAAATACTTCTTCTTAATCTTCAAAATAACATCTTTTGAGGAATGGAATATCCACATCCCTCTGTAATAAAGTAAGAAATAAATCTCCCTGCATGCTGTTGTGACCTTTGACAAGTGTCATAGCTAACTGGTCTTAGCAGTGGCAGGATTTATTTGTCTCACAGAGGTTTGTGTTCTGCCAGGTGGAAATAATCACTAAAAATAAATGCCTCAGGGTTTTTTTTAGTGTTTGCTTTTTTTTATTGTGCTTACTCTCACTCTGAGCTGTTGATTTGTTGGCTATCTTACCAAGTCTGAGTAAAAAGATGAAGGAATATTTGGGGTGAGGTGAGCTGTGACTAGATTTGGATCTTGCTGGTTTGCAAATCCATGCCAGCTTTGTAACCAATCTACCAGAGGCTTCAAGTATCTACTGGAAAATGTGTTTATAATTCTCATTTCAGGATGTTTTCTTCCTTTGCTCTTACTCTCTCAAAACCACTGATTCTTGAATTTCTGCAAATGTTTGATCAAACTGATAATGCTGATTCATTTGAGGATCAATAAAAATCTGGTGTACAGCTCTCTAGTTAGAACACATCACATTACTGATGAAACCTGGCAGGGTCTATATGTCATGATCTACATCCTAGTATTTACAAAACCTGGTATAGAACATCCTTGAAATTTCTGTCATAGAAGTTATTATTTTTAGGATCTAACAAAAATTCATATACACTAGCATTGTTTACCCAAAATAAAATCTTGGGTTTTTTGAACATTTATATTTTCCCTAGTCTCTTCATAAATATCAAAACAGTAAATAGAATCCTATCTCTCATGAAACTGTCCTTCGAAAGTGAGGGAGAAATTAAGACATTCCCAGAGGAAGTTTGTTACCACTAGACTTGACCTACAATAAATGGTAAAGGGAGTCCTCCAGTTTTAAATAAAAGGACATTATTGTGATATGTGATTTTCGGAAAGAGAGAGAGCCTCTTCCTGTTCTAAAGTATTTAGCTCATCTGCTGCCTTGCTCTATCAACTGAGACCTTTAGAGTGTGTGTGTGTGTGTGTGTGTGTGTGTGTGTGTGTGTGTGTGTGTTGAGAAGGAAAAACAAATGAAAGAAATGGAATGTCAGAGAAGAGGAGAGAGGAAAAGAAGGAAAAGAAGAGATAGTATTGTAGCATTGCACTTAGTGGAAATTATTTAGAATCATATAAATATTTTAAGGACAGAAAAGAGAAGATATTAATCTGAACACTGAAAGAAAAATGTTGTAAAAAATGAACTTCTTTGTCTCCCTCCTTCTATAACTTTTATTTTTATTAAGAATCTGTCAGCATTTAAGGAATTTATTTTAGATGCAATAGAATATATGAAACTTATGTTAAATAGTTGAGTGATTGTGTGGGAAACATTATTAATAAAATGAGTCAAATTGGAAAAAAAGAAATGAATGGACACTAGACAGAAACTTGAAGCCGTACAATGACATGAAGATCTTGGTAAAGGTAAAATACATAGGCAATCATCAAAGCTAACATTATTATTATTATTATTATTATTATTTATTTTTTTTATTTATTTTTTTTTTTTGAGACGGAGTCTCGCTCTGTCGCCCAGGCTGGAGTGCAGTGGCGGGATCTCGGCTCACTGCAAGCTCCGCCTCCCGGGTTCACGCCATTCTCCTGCCTCAGCCTCCCAAGTAGCTGGGACTACAGGCGCCTGCCACCACGCCCGGCTAATTTTTTGTATTTTTAGTAGAGACGGGGTTTCACTGTTTTAGCCGGGATGGTCTCGATCTCCTGACCTCGTGATCCGCCCGCCTCGGCCTCCCAAAATGCTGGGATTACAGGCGTGAGCCACCGCGCCCGGCCCAAAGCTAACATTATTTTAAATTTTGTTTGTAACTTCACTTTTGGTTTTCTACATAATTTATGAGATTGGTGTATTAAAAACCAATTACTAGTCTATATTTTTGGATACACAATATATAATGATGTAATTTTATGATATCAATAGCTGAAAGGGAATGGGGCCAGAGATGTATAGGAACATAATTTTTGTAGGATTTTGAAGTTAAGCTGGTAAAAATTTAAATTAGAGTGCATTAACTTTAGGATTTTAAATATAATCCCATGATAAACACATAAAAAGTAGCTATAGAATACACACAAGAGAGAATGAGAAGGTAATTATAATGTTTAATACAAAAAATTAACTAAACACAAAAGCAGACAATAATACAGGAAATCAAGGACAAAAGATACGAAGCATACAGAAAATGAATAGCAAATAGACAGAAGCAAGTTCTTTTTTATCGGCAATTATTCTAAATGTAATAAGATTAAATTCTCCTATCAAAAGACAGAGATTGGCAGAATGGGTAAAAAACAAGATAACTCAACTATATGCTGTCTATAAGAGATTCACTCTAGATCCAAAGATACACATAGGTTGAAAGTAAAAGGATAGAAAAAGATATTTCATGCAAACAGTAATCAAAAGAGAGTAGGGATGGCCATACTATCAGGCAAAATATATTTTAAATAAAAAAAATTATAGGAGACAAACAAAATATTGTATACTAATAAAAGGTTTAGTATAGCAAGAAGATATGATTATAAACATCCACATGCCTAATGACAAGTCACCAAATTATAGAAAGCAAAAATGAGCAGAATTTAAAGGAGAAAGAAATAGTTCTACAATAATAGTTGGAGGCTTTAATGCCCTACTCTCAATAATAGATAGATCAACCAGACAGAAGATCGGTTAAAAAAAAAAAAATAGAGAACTTAAGAGAATAAAACTAGTTATCTCTAATAGGCACATACAGAACCTTCTAAACAAAAACAAAAAAATATGCAAGTGTACATCAGACATTCTTCAGGACAGACCATACGTTAGGCTACAAATTAAATACCAATAGATTTAAAAAGAGATATCATACAAAGTGTCTTCTACCACAGCAGAATGAAGTTAGAAATCAGTAACAGATGAAAAACTAGAAAATTCACAAAATTTGTAAAAATTAAACAACACACTCTTAATCTATGGATCAAAAGAAATCACAAGGCAAATTAGAAAATATATGGAGATGAATGGAAATAAAAACAGAACATACCAAAACTTATGAAACACAGTGAAAGCAGTACCGAAGGGGAAATTTATAGCTATAAAAGCTTACATTAAAAAAAATCTCAAATCAATAGCCTAGATTTAAAACTTTAGGAATGATTAAAAAAAAAACCTAACTAAATGTAAAGCTAGAAGTTAAGCATTTGTAAAGATCAGAGCAGAGATAAATAAAATAGAGAATAGAAAAATGATAGAGAAAAATCAATAAAACCAAAAGTTGGTTCTTCATAGACATTAATAAAATTGACAAACATACTGCTAGATTGACTAAGAAAAAGAGAGAAAGCTCAAATAAGGAATGAACATGGATATATGACTATGAATTCTATAGAAATATAAATAATTATGGGAGATTACTTTGTATATGAACAAATCGGATAACTCTGATGAAATGAACACATTCCTGGAAACATAAAGCCTACAAAAACTGGATAACAAAGAAATGCAAAATCTGAATAGACCTATAACTAGTAAGGAGATTTAATCAGTAATCAAAAACTCCTAAAAAAGAAAAAGCTCTAGACCAAATAGCTTCACTGGTAAATTCTACTGTGTTTGTTTCTTTTCTGCTGCTATAACATAATACGTGAGACCGAATCACTTGCAAAGAACAGAAATTTATCTCCTGACAGTTATGGAGGCTGAGAGGTCCAAGGTCAAGAGGCTGGCATCTTGTGAGGGCCTTCTTGCTGTATCACAACCTGGCAGAAGACATCACATGGGCAAGAAGGAGAAAAGGGGGCTGAATTCCCCCTTTTATAACAAACCCACTCTCGTGATAAAAGCATTAATTCATTCATGAGGGTGGAGCCCTCATGACTTAAACAGCTCTTAAAGGTCTCATTACCCAATACACTGCACTGGGGATCAAGTTTCCAACACATGAACTTTGGGGGATACATTCAAACCATAGCATCTACCAAACACTTTAAGAACTAACATCTATCCTTCTCAAATTTTTCCAAAATTCGAAATAGAGGGAACACGTTCTAACTCATTCTATGAGGACAATATTGCCCTGATACCAAAGCCAGAAAAAGACATTACAAGTAAAAAAAACTTCAAACCAATATCCCTGATGCACATGAATACAAAAATCCAAGTGAGGTTTATTTCTATAATGCAAGGATGCCTCATCATTCAAAAATTAATTAATGTATAAACCACATTAACAGAAAGGATAAAAATATTTATGAAAAGCTACAGTGAACATTATACTCAGTGTCCAATGGTGGAAGATTAAAATTTTTTCCTCTAAGATGAAGAATAAGGCAAGGATGCCTACTCTCACCACTTCTATTGTTCAACATGGTACTGGAAATCCTAGCCAGAGCAATTCAGCAAGAAAAAAGAAGTAAAAGGCATCAAAATTTGAAAGGAAACAATAAAATTATCATTGTACTTAGATGATATGATCTTACATGTAGAATTCCCCAAAGATTACACAAGAAAACTGTTAGAAATAATAAACAGGCCAGGCATGATGGCTCACACCTGTAATCCCAGCACTTTGGGAGGCCAAGTCAGGTGGATCACCTGAGGTCAAGAGTTCAAGACCAGCCTGGCCAGCATGGCAAAACCCCGTCTCTACTAAAAAAAATACAAAAATTATCTGTGTGTGATGGCAGATGCCTGTAATCCCAGCTACTCGGGAGGCTGAGGCAGGGAGAATTGCTTGAATCTGGGAGGTGGAGGTTGCAGTGAGCCAAGTTCACGCTACTGCACTCCAGCCTGGGTGGAAGAAAGAGACTCTGTCTCAAAAAGAAAAAAAAAAGAAAGAAAATAAAAGAAATAATAAACAAATACAGAAAATTAACAGAATACAAAATCCACATGCAAAAATAAGCTGATTGTCTATGCACTAATAATAGTTGGAGGCTTTAATACCCTGCTCTCAATAATAGATAGATCAACCAGACAGAAGATAAGTTAAAAAAAATAGAGAACACAATAAAATGAGTATCTCTAACAGACATATACAGAACTAATAAGCAATCCAAAAACGAAATTAAGAAAACAATTCCATCTACAAAAGCATTAAAATAATAAAATACTTAGGAGTTAACCCAACACAAAAGGTAAAAGACTTGTACACTAGTCCTGATTTTTCTGAGAGGCACACATTTCAAGATGCCCAGTGAATCCCTGAAAGTACAGATAGCAATAAAACCTACACACACACACACACACACACACACACACAATGATTTTTTTCTGTATGTACATACCCACGATATAAATTAAACACAGTAAGAGATTAACAACAATAACAAATAATAAAACATAACAATTATAACAATATGCCAGCATCACTGCTCTTGCACCTTGGGACCAGTATTAAGTAAAATAAGGATTACTTTGGCACAATCATTGCAATAATGCAGCAATCAGTCTGATAACTGAGTAAGCTACTAAGTGACTCATGGGCAGGTAGTATATACAGTGTGGATGCACTAGACAAGGGGATAATTCATATCACAGGCAGGACAGAGAAGGATGGCACAAGATTTCATCATGCTACTCAGAATGGCCTATAATTTAAAACTTATGAATTGTTTATTTCTGAAATTTTCCATTTAATATTTTTGAACCTTGATGACCTTGGGTAACTGAAATGGCAGAATGCTAAACCACTGATAATGTGGGAACTACGGTATACTGAAAACTACAAAACACTGCTGAAAGGAATGAAAAATGATAAATAAATTAATAAATGGAATAAGATCCCATGTTTATGTATTGGAAGACAATATTCTTAAGATGTCAATACTATCCAAAGCAATCTACAAACTCAATGCAATCAATATCAAAATACCAATTCTTCTGTGCATGTGGTGGAGAGGGACAGCAAGTGCAGTGTCCAGAGGCCCCTTTTCTGATTTCCCAGTCCACAGCAGCAGTGACACTGGGAATGCTCCAGCCTTCTAGAGACCAGATCCTTCTGGCAGCAATCATAAATAGATCCAGGGTTTACAGAAAAATATATTCCTGGGTTCTCTATTCTGTTCCATTGGTCTATGTGTCTGTTTTTGTACCAGTACTATGCTGTTTTTGTTACTGTATCCCTGTAGTATAGTTTGAAATCAGGTAGCATAATTCCTTCAGCTTTGTTCTTTTTGCTTAGGATTGCCTTGGCTATTTGGGCTCCTTTTTGGTTCCATAAGAATTTTAAAACAGTTTCTTTTTCTAGTTCTGTGAATCATGTCAATTATAGTTTAATAGAAATAGCATTGATTCTATAAATTGCTTCAGGCAGTATTGGCATTTTAATAATATTTATTCTCTCTATCTATGAGCATGGAATGTTTTTTCCATGTTTGTGTCATATCTGGTTTCTTTGAGCAGTGTTTTGTAGTTCTCTTTGTAGAGAGCTTTCAGCTCCTTGTTTAGACGAGAATGAGGCTGCACACCTACAACTATCTGATCTTTGACAAATCTGACAAAAACAAGCAATGTGGAAATGATTCCCTATTCAATAAATGGTGCTGAGATACTGGTTAGCCATATGTAAAAGACTGAAACTGGGCCCCAGCCTTATCCCATATACAAAAATTAACTCAAGATGGATTAAATACTTAAATGTAAAACCCAAAACTATAAAATCCCTGGAACACAACCTAGGCAATACTATTCTGGACATAGGAATGGACACATATTTCATAATGAAGACACCAAAAGCAATTGCAATGAAAGCAAAAATTGACAAATGGGATCTAATTAAACTAAAGAGCTTCTGCACAGCAAAGGAAACTATCAACAGAGTGAACAGACTACCTACAGAGTGGGAGAAAAGTTTTACAAACTATGCTTCTGACAAAAGTCTAATATCCAGCATCTATAAAGAACTTAAACAAATGTACAAGAAAGAATAATTAAAAAGTGGACAAATGACACGAATAGACACTTTTCCAAAGAAGACATGCATGCAGCCAACAATCATGTGACAAATAGCTCAACATCATTGATAATTAGAGAAATGCAAATCAAAACCTCAATGAGATACCAACTCACACCCGTCAAAATGGCTATTATTAAAAAGTCAAAAAATAACAGATGCTGGCAAGGTTGTGGAGAAAAAGGAATGCTTATATGCTGTTGGTGGAAGTGTGAATTAGTTCAACCATTGTGGAAGAAAGTGTGGCGATTCCTCAAAGATCTAAAGACAGAAATACCATTCAACCCAGCAATCCCATTACTGGTTATATACCTGAAAAATATAAATTGTTCTAATATAAATGCACAGGCATGTGTATGTTCATTGCGGCATTATTCACAATAGCAAAGACATGGAATCAACCTAAATGCCCATCAATGATAGATTGGATAAAGAAAATGTAGTACATGTACACCATGGAATACTATGTAGCCATAAAAAAGAACAAGATTATGTCTTTCACAGGAACACGCATGAAGCTGGAGGCAATTATCCTTAGCAAGCAAACACAGGAACAGAAAAACAAATACCACATGTTCTCACTTATAAGTGGGAGCTAAATGATGAGAACTTATGGCCACTCAAAGGGGAACAACACACACTGGGGCTCACCAGACCGTGGAGGGTTGAGAGTGGGAGGAGGGAGAGAATCAAAAAAAATAAGTAATGACTACTAGGCTTAATACCTGATAACAAAGTAATCTGTACAACAAACCCCCATGACACAAGTTTACCTATATAACAAATCTGCACATATACCCCTGAACTTAAAATAAAAGTTAAATTTAAAAAGAAAAATACAGGGCCGGGCACGGTGGCTCACGCCTGTAATCCCAGCACTTTGGGAGGCTGAAGCCGGTGGATCACAAGGTCAGGAAATCAAGACCAGCCTGTCCAAGATGGTGAAACCCCGTCTCTACTAAAAATACAAAAATTAGCCAGGCGTGGTGGTGCATGCCTGTAATCCCAGCTACTTGGGAGGCTGAGGCAGGAGAACTGCTAGAACCCAGGAGGCGGAGGTTGCAGTGAGCCAAGATCATGCCACTACACCCCAGCCTGGGCAACAAGAATGAAATTCCATTTAAAAAAATAAAAGAAAAGAAAAAGAAAAAAAAATACAGTCCTAATGAATGGGAAAATGAGGAGTCATAGTAAAGAAATAAAAAGTATAAAAGAGAGCCAGATAAAAATTTTAAATCTAAAAATATAATAAGTGAATCAAAATTAATTGAACAGCTTAACAACAAATTGGAGAAAGTAAAAGAATCAGTGAAGTTCAATGATACAGAATTGAAAACATTAAATCTGGAGAACTGCAAGAATAAAGATTGAAGAAAAATTAAGTGAATATCAGTGACCTATGTGATAGTATAAGACAGTTTAAGACATATGTAATTGGAGCTACAGCTGTAAAGGAGAAACAGAAACTAGCAGAAAATTTACTTGTAAAATTTTATTTTTCTCTTTGATATTCTTCAGTTTTCGTGAGATGCGTACGTATCAATGACTCTGTTTTCACTCATCAGGCATTTTGAACATCTTCAATCTGAAAACTAATAATGTTACTATTAGAAAATTATCAACTATTATCTTCCCTTGTCTATGATCTTTCCAACCTTTTTTCTTGCTAATTCTGGAATTCCTATTACTATATGTTAGACCTTCATTTACTCTCTTTCATGTCTGTATTTTCATCTCTTTATCTCACTATATACATCACTAAATTGATTTTTCTATATACTATCCCTCTTTAGTTGAATTTACTGTTCTGTATAATCTGTCCTTTGTATTCATAATTTTATTAATTATATTTTTCTTAGAGATTTGATTTGTCTCTGTTTCACATTTAGTCTTTTACAATTCCCATACCTCCCTCAATATGGATTTTATCCTTCTTGTATCTCTTTAAACATTAAGCAATTAACATTGTTAAACAATGTTAACAAACGTTAAATTTCCCATTGTTAAACAATGTTAAACATTGACATTCCATAGTCATGTTTGTATTGTTCTTTTATTGCTAGCTATTCATATATTATTGTTCACATTTGTTGACTAGGGTAATTAATTTTCATGTGGAGTTTAAATTTTTTTATGTCTCATCTTCAGTGAGGGCAGATTTATTTGTGGGAGTCTTACTGTGGGCCAATGTTAAATTATTAACTTTTGGTTTCCTACCACATGGGTGGTAAACATTCAAACCTCACAGCCTGTGATTTGGGATTAGAGTTTCCATTTCTTCAAGGTTATGTTTTTTTCCTTTTATGGTTCTGAGCAATTGACATGATTCCTGATGTTCCCCGGACCTGTGGATTTTCTAGTCCAATTTTCATAGACATTATAGCCAACAGTGACATCTATTTTCTTTTCTTTGAAGAGGGTTCCATTCCAGCTGTGCCAAAAGCACAGCTTTTGTTCCAATATGAGTAACAATATCCTGATCTCTCAACTTTATCTCAGCTCTCATACCTCCAAGCGACTTCAGTAACAGCTAAAAGTTCTGTTTTATGTTTCACTGTCATTTGCAGCAATGAACAAATATCTCCTCCCTTTTGTTGTCTTTTGGTGAGTTTGGCTGTACATTTTTCTAACGTGTTGTTCCCAAGAATTCAGTCATTTTTCTCTAGAAGTGCAGTGTTTTCAGGAGGAGTTTTTGTGGCAGTACAGAGAAGAATCACGTTTACTGAGTTTGCCATATTTAACCTCCTTTTCACATTAGGATAGAGATATTCCTATGTCATTGATTTTTCATTGCTTCATTTTTATTGACTGAAGACTAACTATATTTGTATGTCCTAAATGTCTTAAATTAACCAACTAAATCTCTATTTTGGGACCTTTTGGTCGTTTCCATTTTTCCTCTCTCATAGACCTTTTCTCATAATGAATATTGCATTATTTAGTTACTTTTTTAAAGTATCCAGTAGAAAACAGTCAAGAGATATGCACACACACATACAATATTAAAATATTAAAAGCAATGGTAAAAATTGTAATTACTTTTGTACCAACACAATAATAACAAAGCCAAATAGAGCAGAAGGTTCTAGGTAGTAACAATAGTCAAGGAAAGAGTTAATAAATGGGAAAGTACCAAAATTTCCATTCCCTATAGCAATGCTTTAGCTATCAAAAAGCTCTATTTGGGGCCAAGTGTGGTAGCTCACACCTGTAATCCCAGCACTTTGGAAGGTCAAGGCAGGCAGATCACCTGAGTTTGTGAGTTTGAGACAAGCCTGGCCAACATGATAAAACCATCTCTACTAAAAACACAAAAATAATCTGGGTGTGGTGGCACATGCCTGTAATCCCAGCTATTTGGGAGGCTGAGGCACAAGAGTCACTTGAACATGGAAGGTGGAAGTTGCAGTGAGCTGAGATAGCACCACTGCACTCCAGCCTGGGTGACAGAGCAAGACTCTGTCTTAAAAAAAGAAAAGAAGCTTTGTTTGTTTGTTAGTTTGTTTGTTGGAAATAGGGTTCTTTTTGTGTTTTTTGAAGCAATGAATGGTCCATAAAATGAAAGAATGTTGTAGTAAACGAGAACGAAATTCCTTTGATGGCACTGTATTGCAGAATGAGACTGATCATGCTGTAAGAAAAACATTAATGTCATTGGAGCAGATATCACTTTCTCTATTTCATGCTGACTGCTTTCTATTTTGAGATGTCTACTGGATGGTAACATATAGAATCCTGAGGAGCATCACTTTATCAGTCTTTGAAAAGAATTAGTAATTGTGATTAGTGCACTTCAGCTGAAACTACTGTGAACTTATTGGAACTAATCTTCCAAAGTGTTTCCGATACTATGAACGCTAAAGTTGCTCATCAAAGCTAAAGCAATCTAGCACTCCTTAAAGCTGCCAGAGTCCTCTTCCATCTCAGAAGGATTCTATTTCCAATTTAGGTCCATTAAATTGAGTGGACACAGAGATATAGCTAAAATATTCCAGAAAAAGCAAAATAAACTCTTAAAAAGTAAAATAAAACACACAACATCAAACAAATTGTATGGAAAAAAGCAACACACAAAACCTGAAGATACCATACATACAATTGCTAAAAGAGACAAGGGAGGTTAAATTTGATTTCTGGCATGGTTTGAATATTTGTCCCCTCCAAATCTCATGTTAAAATGTTATTCTCAATGTTGGAGGTGGGGCCTCATGGGAGATGATTGAATCATAAAAGTGGAGTCCTCATGAATAGCTTAGCAACATCCCCTTCGTGATAAGTAAGTTCTCACTCAGTTAACACGTGATCTGGTCGTTTAAAAGAGTTTGAGATCTCCCCACTGTCTCCCTTGCTCCTACTCTCACCGTATGACATGCTGGCTCCCCCTTGCCATCCGCCATGATTCTAAGCTTCCCAAGGCCCCCACCAGAAGCAGACACCAGCACCATACTTCCTATAAAGCCTGCAGAACTGCGAGCCAATTAAACCTCTTTTCTTTATAAACCACCCAGATTCAGGTATTTATAGTGATGCAAAAATGGACCAATACAATTCCTAAATCTAATTTTCCTGGAAGAGGTCAATGACATTCATTGGAAACCAATTCCATCATTGTTACAATCAAGGTTTTCTTCATAAACAGACAATAGAACTAAGGACTTAATAGCATTTTCTTTCTGCTCACTGTGGTCTATGGAGAGCAGATCTTCTAATACATTTTAGGTAGAAGATAGTGTACCTATTTTCCATTCGAAAGTCTTATTTTTACTCACATAGATAAGAGAAAGCTAAATTGCCTTCAACTCTCAATTGGTTACCTGATTGAATTGGCTTTCACTCCCATAAAATATTCTTCCTGCTCACTTCCAAGTTCACTTAAGTCCCTATAGTGTTACATGAAATACAGCACTGCTTAATCCATGGTACAAATACAATAAAATCAAACAGAACTGACTGTTATAATTTTTGATTAGACAATAAAGCTCAGATATGCTAAGTGACTTGCTTAAGTGACAGCCAAGACTGTCAGGCTGTTCTCCCAGGTTATTCAGGAAAGTTCCCATGCAGGATATAAATTCTGACCCATGTTTGACCTACAATAAGATATAATTTTAAAGGGAGAGCAGATCATTGTAAAAAGAAGAAATAAAATTTCACATCCTTCAAAATTCAGAATTGTTTTAAAGCATGATAAGCAGTGAAAATAAGTACGTTTGCCTGAACAGAAAAAATAGCAAGAGAGATACCAAAAATCTTCTCACCTGTTGATATGGTCTGGCTTTTTGTCCCTCCCCCAAATCTCACCTTGAATTGTAACCCCCATAATTCTCACTTGTCAAGGGCAGGACCAGGTGGAGGTAATCGGATCATGAGGGTGGCTTCCTCTATGCTATTCTCATGATAATGAGTGATTCTCACGAGATCTGATGCTTTTATAAGCATCTGGTATTTCCCCTGCTTGCACTCACTCCACTCTGCCACCTTGTGAAGAAGGTGCCTGCTTCTCCTCTGCCTTCAGCCATGATTGTAAGTTTCCTGAGGCCTCCCAGCCATGTGTGTGAGTCAATTAAACCTCTTTCCTTTAAAAATTACCCAGTCTTGGGTATTTCTTCATAGAAGTGTGAGAACAGACTAATACACCTGCAAAATGTGTGTATGTGTGTGTTGCAGAGAGTATTTTTGTATATTCCTAAGTATAAAATATATAAAATGTATTGGATATTAAACATTAGAGCTCATCCATTCAAATATTTGGAGGAAGTATCGCGGAAATTTTTAAGTATTTTTGGAACTATGTTGGAGATGTATTAAGTTCTCATTGCTGCTACAATAAATTACCACCAACTAGTGGCTTAAAATACTACAAATTTATCATTATACATTTCTGGAGGGCAGAAATCAAAGATGGGTGTTACTTACAGGGCTAAAATCATAAGAGTCAGCCGAGCTGTGTTTCTTTCGGAGGCTCTAGGGAAGAATTAATTTTCTTTCCTCTAACAGCTTCTAGAGGCCATCTTGGTTCTTATTCCCTTTTCCATCATCAAAACCAGCAACAAGCTGCACACGGGGGCTCACATGTGTAATTCCAGCACTTTGGGAGGCCAAGGTGTGAGGATTTCTTGAGCCCAGGAGTTTGAGATCAGTCTGGGCAACATGGCAAAATCACATCTCTAGGAAAAATACAAAAAAATTGGCCAGGAGTGGTGGTCCATGCCTGTAATCCTAGCACTTTGGGAGGCTGAGGTGGGCAGACTGCCTGAGCTCAGGAGTCAAGACCAGCCTGGGCAAGACAGTGGAACCCTGTCTCTACTAAAGTACAAAAAATTAGCTGGGGGTGGTGGCACGTGCCTGTAGTTCCAGTTACTCGGGAGGCTGAGACAGGAGAATCACTTGAACCCGAGAGGCAGAATTTGCAGTGAGCCGAGATCACGGCACTGCACTCCAGCCTGGGTGACAGAAAGAGACTCCATCTCAAAAAAAAAAAAAAGAGAAAAAGAAAAAATACAAAAAATTAGTTGGGCATGGTGGCCTGTATCTATAGTACCAGCTACTCAGGAGACTGAAGTAGGAGGATTGCCCGAGCCTGGGATGTCAAGGCTTCAGTGAGCCATGATTGTGCTGCTGCACTCCAGCCTGGGTGACAGAGTGAGACGTTGTCTCAAACAGGAAAAAAAAAAAAAAGTAGCATAAAATCTTCAATCTGTCTTTCTCTCTGACTTTGTCTTTCTCTGACTTTGCTTCTATTGTCACATCTCTTTCTCTCTCTGACTTTCATAGCTCCCCCTCATAAAAACCCTGTCATTACATTGGGCCCACCTGCATAATACAGGATAATCTCCCATCTCAAGGTCCCTTAAATTAATCACACCTGAAAAGTCCTAGGCCCACTTAAATAAGGTGGTATATTCACAGGTACTTGGTGTTAGGACACAGGTGTTTTGGGGGAGCCATTTTTCTGTCTACCACAAAAGAATATGAGAATAGAAAGGAAAAAAGGAGAGGGAAAAACATGCAGCCACTCATCCTTTATTAACATTATTAGATTTCTACGGGCTGTCATTGCAAAGACCTCCTTCTATCACAATCAAATAAGTTTCTTATGAGCCCGTCTGGTAGCTTCTTATTCTTTCCCTGGAATGAAATTCTTTGTTCAGAGCCCTCCATGGGCTTTGGATCTGCTCCTGGAAGTTTCTTCGGATGCCGTTCTTGGGAACTGCATACTTTGGGGACTCAGTTAATGATAGATGTTTAAGGACTAAAGATTGTTTTAGGAATAAAACAGGCTATTTCAGGCATTTCTTTAGCCAAACAATTTTATCACAAATATAGTCATCTCTTTTTTTTAATTTTATTATTATTATACTTTAAGTTCTTTAAGTTTTAGGGTACATGTGCACAACGTGCAGGTTTGTTACATACGTATCTGAGGACTGTTGTGGGGTGAGGGATTTGGGAGGGATAGCATTAGGAGATATACCTAATGCTAAATGACGAGTTAATGGGGGCAGCACACCAATATGGCACATGTATAGTCATCTCTTTACTTCAACTAATTTCACTGTTTCTAGTTAGTTCCATGTGTAAGTAACCAAATCCAAATATTTCATTAGACATCTTTTATTAGCCTGGAACCTAGTCTTCTACTTATTGAGCTTCAGGCTCTGCCCATTCCTTCTTCTCTTATTTAAATTGAGGATAGCTTGAGGCCATCTGAAACTTCAGGTTTGTGTAGGAAGGCAAAATCTTTAATTTGCTTTCTGTTTCTCCCACGTTTAGCAGAGAATTCCTAAAGGAAGCTACTTCAAAAATCTGCTTCAGTCTTAACCACCTACTAGTGTATTTGAAGCCATCATTTACAACTGTTTCGATTTGTATACTATGGTTTGAAAATTTGTCCTCCCCAAAACTCATGTTGAAATTTAATTGTCATTGTAACAATATTGAGAGCTGGGACCTTTAGGATGTGATTAAACCATGAGGGATATTAATGCCAGTATGGTGAAATTAATGCCAGTATAAAAAGGCAAGTTCAGCCCCTTTTAGTTTCTGTTTGCTCTTCTGTTTCCCACCATGTGATGACACAGCAAGAAGACCCTCACCAGAAGTCAGCCTCTTGATCTTAAACTTTCTAGGCTCCAGAATTGTGAGGAAATAAATTTCTGTTCACTCTAAATTAGTAAGTTTCTGATGTTTTATTATAGCAGCACGAAATGAACTGAGACATTGGTGTACAGAGTAGTTGGCTTTTTAACCATGCAAAGCCTCAAATTACAGACTATCCATTAATTTAAATTCTGGTTATAGGTAGAAAGTGCCTATTTTAGCAGTTATATTTGCTCTGTGCCTACTTTATTGAAATCAGAATGAACCATCCAACACAGATGACGTCTTCTAAACTGTTCCTGTTATTTGTCATAATGCTACAATCTCAGTGGATATGTGAACTGCCTTTCAAGACATCAATGGCAGCAGTTTAACTACATTTTTTTTAATGGCCATAGTACAATAGGAGCCACTAGCTTCATAGTTGGCAATATCTGTGCCTTTGCTACTTATTATTTGGTAAAAACAATGTCAAATATTTTAGTTGTGTGCAGCACTGTACTTTGAAGTTAAATTTGTTTTTTTTAGAATTAAGATTATCTATGAAAAATAAAAAAGACATAGAAGTAAAATAGGAGTTTGTTTTTCTCTTACAACATCTGAAAGGCAGTCTAAAGTTAGCATGCCTCCTCAGGATGTCATGGACATCTTACCATCAAGTTGCTCTTCCACACATGGCTTCAAATTCTTGTATCTGTATTCTAGGTAACAAAATATAGGATGATTGCAGAAAGAAAATCTCATGACATTTCTACCTGTATACATTTTGCCAGATCTTGGTCACATGATTACACAAAGCTGCAAGGAAAGCTAGAAAATATAATTTTTACTGTAGATAGGAGCCATTTTTTCAACTAAAAGTCAGGGATTCTATTACAGCAAAAGAAGAGAGATCAGAAATGTCTAAATTTACCCTTGGCTGTACTTGGGGAAATTCTAAAAATATCCCACTATAAAATAGCCTAGAATTTACCTCCTAGGAGCCAGATAAAATTTACCTAGGATCAGGTATGGGCATTGGTACTAAAAACAAATGTCAAAAACCTCACTATTGATTTAATTGTGTAGACATCATTGAGAATCCCTGAATTTTGTCATTACAGAAGACTTTGTTGAGGAGATATAAGTAAACCCAACCCTTAAAGAATGGGTTTGAGTTTGGATTGGTAGATAATGGAATGACAGAATTGAAATTAGGCATTTCAGGTCAGGAACAGGACAGTGTCCGTGTCTTTAGTGTTTCCTTATAAAAAGCCATGACAACCGTTTATGGATTAAGGAAATATATGCGTATTACTTCACCAACATTCCACTTCCCTCTTTGAACCTGTTTAGAATTGTTTAGAATTGGTGACTGTTAGAAGTCACCAAGAAGACTTCTGGTGAGGGTCTTCTTGCTGTGTCATCACATGGTGGGAAACAGAAGAGCAAACAGAAACTAAAAGGGGCTGAACTTGCCTTTTTATACTGGCATTAATTTCACCATACTGGCATTAATATTAATTGTTTGTTTAGAACCAAACAATTCCATTCTGATGGTTTACACACAGATTTCTCCTCTTTTTCTGGCCTTTCATGGAGCAGTCATCTGGACTTCTATGTAACTTTTCCCCAAGTTTCTGCCTCAACTCCTCATACTTCAATTTTATGCATACAGATGTTCAGTTAATCCCAGCCAAATATTGCTAACCTTTGTATTGAACCTAAGTTCCCTTGAAAATACAACTAGCATCCCACATCTCAACCCACCCATCCAGCAAAAATAGAATGGCATAGAAAAAACTTTAACAGAAGCAAAAATCATCCAATACATACAGTTTAAACCACAGATTATAGGTTGGTTTCCAATTCTTTTAGTCTAATTTACTTTATATACATTTTTTATACATTTTGCTTCCAGTTTGTGGTCATCATTCTCCTAAGACATATATTTTACTTTTATGCATACTACCAATCTCCATACTTTTTCAAGGGTCAGCTCCAAATTCCAATTATCAATTAAGTAGTACAATGCATGTAGATTAGGAGAATGCCAAAGTTGGTAGAGCAGCACTGTAAATATGCCTTCTAGTTCTCTGGTTGGTAATCAGAGCATTATTTATTAGATAGTCTTTGATTTAAGCTCAAAATGCCCTTATGACAACATGGAATATTTTCTAGAAGTATTTTAAACTTGGTGAATACTTATTTCAAATAACTCATTCTCAAAATTACCTTTCTTTAGATTCAGGTCGTTTTACATTTATTCTTTTAAAAATATGCTCTACATTAACTCTGAAATCTCTCCTCCAGAGCTTGGCCAAATTATCATGTTGATTGCATTCCCACTTCTTAATTTCCAAAGTGCACCAGGAAATTGTAGAGGTGCAGCACAGTCTATGCTAGGTTCACATTCACTTACTGTGCTAATGAAAGGTTTAAGCCTTTGGTATTGGTAGCTTAGTAGCTCTCTCTGTGTATGTGCCTAAATTTGGTAGCATAAAGAAAATTTCTATCACTGGGGGCTAAAGTAGTAATCAAAACAGGGTTATCAATGGCATTAATTTGTAAAGATTTAGATGCTCACATTTGCTGCTTCTCTTTCAATTGCCACCAGGGATGCAGTCACTGAAGCAAACTTAATCAGAAAATATAATATTTTATAGGACCAACCAAACACAAAGAAAATCACATTCCAAATGCAAAAACTTCCAGAATATACTAGATATAGTAAATATGACATATAATTTAAGTAATAAGATCTTGCAGGTTAATCATAATTAGAAGTGCTGAACATTAGGAATTATTAAAAAGCAAAACTATCAACTATTTGATCTTTTACATGTGTTGTGCCCATGAAATGTATACTCTGTGATTTGTATCAGCATAAGAATTGGCCAAAGAAGATACAACTTCCTGTATTGTACCGGCTGAATATAATTCAAAACATGTAGGAAAATATAATAGTGAAACTCATAGAAGCAGAAGATACAATAGTGGTTGTCAGGGGCTGAGGGGTGGGGGAAATAGAAAGTTGTTCAATGCTTATAAAGTTTCAGTTAGGGTAGATGAATAAGTTCTAGAGATCTGTACAACATAGTGCCTATAATTAATAGCACAGATTTATGCACTTCAAATTTTGTTAAGAGAACTCATTTTAAGCATTTTTATCACAATACAACAACAACAAAACAAAGGGACACAAAGAAACTTTGGGAGATGCTAGAAATGTCTATTACCTTCATTGTGGTGATGGTATCCCAAAAGTCTGCATATGTCCAAACTCTACATATTAAATATGTTCATTTTTTGATAAATTATACCATAATAATACTGTTTATAAGAGTGTAGGAGACAGAGGCTCTGATGTAAGTCCTATAATCACAAATGACAAATCTAGATACATGTTTGTATTTGCTTATAAGTCTAATCTGCCATTTAGGAGTCTCAAACTTTAAAAAATAAAAAGGACATTTTTCATCTAGCCTCAGTATCAAACTCTGCTGTCTTTAACCCGATTTTTAAAAAAGAGAAAGAAAAAATGGAATAAAGGAATAGTATAATCATACATGATATTTGAGCATATTAAAATGCCACTTCAATTAAAGAAAATTCATACTGATGTAGAGAAACACAGAGAAATTAGATAAAAGGAAATAGTCCCAAATATACTATATATAAAATTTGGCATATAAATGTCATTAGGAAAAGATAAAGTATTCAATAAATGTTGTGAAAAGAGCTAGCTAGTAAATAAACCTGGTTTCTTTTGTCATCTATTACAGCAAAATAAGTTTCACATGCATCAAATATTCAAATATTAAAAATAAAATTAAAGTACTAGAGAAAGCAAAGGCAATAATCTTTGAGCGGATAAAGTCCCTTCTACTTGAAAGAAATAAATCAAAGTTACAAAGAAATAATTTTTACTGCACATATACTTTTAAAGTTCTTTAGCCAAACACCATAAAGAAAAAAGTTTAACATCTAGGAAAATTACTTTTAATATTTGTAAAGAAAGTACAAATGTTTTTCATATGTAAAGAACCCTTCAAATTAACCATAGTTCCATAATTTCACATCTAGGAACTTATCCTAAGCATGCAAACATGAATGTACAAACTATCTTCATTGAAGCATTATTTGCAATGGTAAAAATCTGAAATAAATCTAAATGCCAATTAATAGCACACAGTTTATTAAATTGCGGTATAGCCAAATAGCTAAGAAAATATGGTACTGGTAAATAAAATATGGCTCATCAGCAGGCAAATAAATAATGTTTATTTCTGTGCATAGATAAAAAGAGATGTCCAATATACTTATTAATGAAGGTAAGTTTCAGAAAAGTATAATTAAATGTGTGTAGAAGGGAAGGAGATTTTAAATGCTTGTTAAAGAATAGATTTTGGAAGAACATTCCATGCTCATGGGTAGGAAGAATCAATATCGTGAAAATGGCCATACTGCCCAAGGTCATTTATAGATTCAATGCCATCCCCATGAAGCTACCAATGACTTTCTTCACAGAATTGGAAAAAACTACTTTAAAGTTCATATGGAACCAAAAAAGAGCCCGCATCGCCAAGTCAATCCTAAGCCGAAAGAACAAAGCTGGAGGCATCACGCTACCTGACTTCAAACTATACTACAAGGCTACAGTCACCAAAACAGCATGGTACTGGTACCAAAACAGAGATATAGACCAATGGAACAGAACAGAGCCCTCAGAAATAATGCCACATATCTACAACTATCTGATCTTAGGCAAACCTGACAAAAACAAGAAATGGGGAAATGATTCCCTATTTAATAAATGGTGCTGGGAAAACTGGCTAGCCATATGTAGAAAGCTGAAACTGGATCCCTTTCTTACACCTTATACAAAAATTAATTCAAGATGGATTAAACACTTACATGTTAGACCTAAAACCATAAAAACCCTAGAAGAAAACCTAGGCAATACCATTCAGGACATAGGCATGGGCAAGGACTTCATGTCTAAAACACCAAAAGCAATGGCAACAAAAGCCAAAATTGACAAATGGGATCTAATTAAACTAAAGAGCTTCTGCACAGCAAAAGGAAATACCATCAGAGTGAACAGGCAACCTACAGAATGGGAGAAAATTTTTGCAACCTACTCATCTGACAAAGGGCTAATATCCACAATCTACAATGAACTCAAACAAATTTACAAGAAAAAACAACCCCATCAAAAAGTGGGCAAAGGATATGAACAGACACTTCTCAAAAGAAGACATTTATGCAGCCAAAAAACACATGAAAAAATGCTCATCATCACTGGCCATCAGAGAAATGCAAATCAAAACCACAATGAGATATCATCTCACACCAGTTAGAATGGCAATCATTAAAAAGTCAGGAAACAACAGGTGCTGGAGAGGTTGTGGAGAAATAGGAACACTTTTACACTGTTGGTGGGACTGTAAACTAGTTCAACCATTGTGGAAGTCAGTGTGGCGATTCCTCAGGGATCTAGAACTAGAAATACCATTTGACCCAGTCATCTCATTACTAGGTATATACCCAAAGGATTATAAATCATGCTGCTATAAAGACACATGCACACGTATGTTTATTGCAGCACTATTCACAATAGCAAAGACTTGGGACCAACCCAAATGTCCAACAACGATAGACTGGATTAAGCAAATGTGGCACATATACACCATGGAATACTATGCAGCCATAAAAAATGACGAGTTCATGTCCTTTGTAGGGACATGGATGAAACTGGAAACCATCATTCTCAGCAAACTATCACAAGGACAAAAAACCAAACACCGCATGTTCTCACTCATAGGTGGGAATTGAACAATGAGAACACATGGACACAGAAAGGGGAACATCACACACAAGGGACTGTTGTGGGGTGGGGGGGAGGGAGGAGGGATAGCTTTAGGAGATATACCTAATGCTAAATGACGAGTTAATGGGTGCAGCACACCAACATGGCACATGTATACATATGTAACAAACCTGCACGTTGTGCACATGTACCCTAAAACTTAAAGTATAATAATAAAAAAAAGAATACATTTTGTGAAACAATATGAAAGAAACTGCAAATAGAGGTTACCCTCTGAAAAAGAACACAAGTTAAAAAAGGAGGTGGAGATTTACTGTGTACTTTAAGCCTGTTGATTTTATCTGAACCAGTTGATTTTATTCAAATGTTTTTAAAAAGGAATTGAAAAGCTCCTAGTAGCAAGCAAATACATTGAGTTTTCTGCTGTTGCTCAGCAGAAGATCCTGACCCCTTGGTGACCATTCTCTTTGGCCTTGGAATTCCTTTTAAGTTGCATCAATGAGGCATGTTTTTGTAGAGACTGACCCTGACCTTTCAAATTTTATATTTTTATTAATAACTGAAGTCCAGGCAAAGTAAACCAATAGCCTGAGATGAAGGTGACCACAGAATGAGACAATTAATTCTTGACAGAGACAAATGCATTCACCCCTACTGTTCAATACAATCTACCATTTGCCAAGCATATTACGACCACCAAGGCTTTGCCTGCTTAGCCAAACCAATAGCTGCTTTGTAGCACCCTCTTGGCTAACACTGAGAATTGTCAAGTGTTAGTCCTGGAAAAGGTCTTGAAAATAATTTATTCCAGCCCTTACATCTGGTATATTAGGAGTCCAAGGCCTAGCAATTATCTGGTCACTCAGCTAAGTGAAACTAATATGTTTTCTAACGCCTAGTTGAGTGTTATTGACACTGGATACAATGGTTTTGGAAATCCAATAATTTTCAAAGATGTATACAGATAACTCTTTTGCTTTTTCCTTTATTTGGTGTTTATTGACATGCTATCTGAGTGCTTTGGGTGGAATTTTAATTTTCAGATGATGACCCGTAACAGCTACACAAGCCTTATGCCTTCAGAATGACCCATAGATATCCGCTCTTTCTGTCAGGGATTCTTTTGAAGCATCATGATTAAAAGCAAGAACTCTAGAATTGCAGAGTCTAAACTTAAATTCTAACTCTGTAACTTACCAGCTGTATAATATTGAGTGTGTTTGTTTCTTGGTATCTGTTTCCTCACATATAAAATGGGAAAAATAATAATGCCTACTTCATAGGGTGCTAATGAGAATTAAGTAAAATACTACTTAATGTTAGGGTTAGAAAAGTGCCTGGCACATGATAGGTATTCAATAAATGCTAACTATTACTACTACTAATGCTATTATTATTTCCAGTACCTGGAATTATAATCTGTTCTCCTATTAGTGTATGAACCAAACTTTCCTTTGGATTCTTGAAATAACTCCCCCAAATTCTTGCCTGATCACAACTTTCCTCTTTCCATCTCATCATTTCCACTGCTGCTAGCATTAACTTTATTTAATATTAAGTCTGGTATTGTTATTCTCCTTGTAAAACCTTTTAATGGCTCCCTATCATGTGGCTAAAATCTAAACTCTCTGGCATGGCAAACAAGGCCATTTTTTGTTTTGAGTTAATAGGTCATCATCAAATGATGGCCTTTCCCCCATCTCATGCATGATAAAATTATAAAGCAGGAAGAGTGGTAGCTTGTTCCAGTTGTTCTGTCTTGTTATTGGATATCCTCTTTTATGATGTGATCTTATGGCATTGAAGTGTGGTCCTGTGTAAAAGTGGTTCTGTGTAAAATTTTTGAAGAAATCCACATTTTAGGTTAGTAAGTTATTAAAAATTATACTTTTTTATTTTATTTAATTCAGTGTGTTTAGATTCAGTAAGTCTGGAAATACTGTACAATAATACTAATATGACAACACATTTATTTAGTTAAACGATACATTTTATAACCTCTTTTGACAGTGTAGGTGGCTAACGGTAGCACCAAAAACCCTTACATACTGGTATAGTCATCTCTAGCCCAGAATGTCCTACTCTGTTTCACACCTTTATATGACTGGCCTACTGGATTTCTGCATATAGAGATATCACAAATATTTTAAACTTGACAATAAAATATAGGTTTGACTTCCTTTGTTCTCTGTCCAGCCAGTTCTCCCAACCAAAACCTGGAATGCATTTGACATTTCTGCTTTTCATTCACCACTAAAACCCAATCAGTCACAGATTGCTTCCTGATTGTTTTCAAAACTGTTCTGTCCTCTCCCTTCCAGCAATCATTACTCTCGTCACTTCTTTGGATTCTCATTATTTCTTGTCTAGATTATTACAATGACCTCCCTTCCAAATCTCTCTGCCTCTAGACTCATTCCACTTGAGCTCATGCTATTTAAATGGAATCATTTTACTTTCCTGCTCAAGATCCCCAGTGGCCCTCCCGTAAAGCTTCAAAGACAAAATTCAAATTCCTCAATCTGAGATGTAAAGTCTTTCATAAATATTCTTCTGTCTACTTCTCTGGACTTACTTAATCCTATTTCCTTAAATATGCCATTTATTCCATTCATACCCAAGTGCTTGTATTTCCCTAAATGCTGCGCTGTTTCATGACTGTGCCAATTGTACTCTTAATCTCTTCGTCTGGAATGCCCATATCCTGTTTTCTCTACTCGCTTATTCATTTGCTCAACTCCTTTCTACACATTTTAAAAATTAGCTTCAGTGTCCCTTTGTCTTTAGGGAGCCTTACTTGATGTACGATAATTAAAAGATCTTCTGTGCTCTACTAATCCTCCTTAAATACCCAGTTATAAGACACTTTCCTGATATTATCAGCTTTCTTATCTCCATCATCCTCCTGAATGTGATCTTCTTGAAGGCAGGAGCCGCACACTGTTTATCTTTGTATGCTGTAATGCATTCACCTGACTGTCATTTAGTCTGTAAAGAAATACAAAGGTCCTTGTCACAGCGGCAGCAAGAGTTAGAGAGCAATTCTCAAAGGAAAGATAAGCAAGAGCAACCCTTCACTTTAGGAAGAATCCAGGTTTGATTATTTTAAGAAAGCTGTAATATCTCCTTATATTGACACTTGTTTGCTTACACTGACACTCAACAAATACACTTTCAATGATTTCATGCATGAGTAAATGACAAGAATTAAGTTCTACTGAAAAAGCTTCAAATATCTCCCTATATAACGGGCCCTTCCCAGAATATACATTTTTAGATTCTGCAGGTAGAAGGACATCCCAGAGGAATGGTGCAATTCTAAGTTTATGACAATACAGACCAGGATCTGCTGTGTCCATTAATAGCATGTGGATTCTAGTGATTCTAATTATCTACATGGGTGCCTCAGTGGCTGCTGCATTTTCAATATTTCTCACAGATGATTGTGATTGAAAAACAGACACAATCCATATGAACTTTAAAGTAGTTTTTTCCAATTCTGTGAAGAAAGTCATTGGTAGCTTGATGAGGATGGCATTGAATCTGTAAATTACCTTGGGCAGTATGGCCATTTTCACGATATTGATTCTTCCTACCCATGAGCATGGAATGTTCTTCCATTTGTTTGTATCCTCTTTTATTTCCTTGAGCAGTGGTTTGTAGTTCTCCTTGAAGAGGTCCTTCACATCCCTTGTAAGTTGGATTCCTAGGTATTTTATTCTCTTTGAAGCAATTGTGAACGGGAGTTCACTCATGATTTGGCTCTCTGTTTGTCTGTTATTGGTGTATAAGAATGCTTGTGATTTTTGTACATTGATTTTGTATCCTGAGACTTTGTTCATATGGAACCAAAAAAGAGGCCGCATCGCCAAGTCAATCTTAAGCCAAAAGAACAAAGCTGGAGGCATCACACTATGTGACTTCAAACTATACTACAAGCCTAGAGTAACCAAAACAGCATGGTACTGGTACCAAAACAGAGATATAGATCAATGGAACAGAACAGAGCCCTCAGAAATAACGCCGCATATCTACAACTATCTGATCTTTGACAAACCTGACAAAAACAAGCAATGGGGAAAGGATTCCCTATTTAATAAATGGTGCTGGGAAAATTGGCTAGCCATATGTAGAAAGCTGAAACTGGATCCCTTTCTTACACCTTATACAAAAATCAATTCAAGATGGATTAAAGACTTAAACGTTAGACCTAAAACCATAAAAACCCTAGAAAAAAGCCTAGGCATTACCATTCAGGACATAGGCATGGGCAAGGACTTCATGCCTAAAACACCAAAAGCAATGGCAACAAAAGACAAAATTGACAAATGGGATCTAATTAAACTAAACAGTTTCTGCACAGCAAAAGGAAATACTGTCAGAGTGAACAGGCAACCTACAGAATGGGAGAAAATTTTCACAACCTACTCATCTGACAAAGGGCTAATATCCACAATCTACAATGAACTCAAACAAATTTACAAGAAAAAAAACAAACAACCCCATCAAAAAGTGGGCAAAGGACATGAACAGACACTTCTCAAAAGAAGACATTTATGCAGCCAAAAAACACATGAAAAAATGCTCATCATCACTGGCCATCAGAGCAATGCAAATCAAAACCACAATGAGATACCATCTCACACCAGTTAGAATGGCGATCATTAAAAAGTCAGGAAACAATAGGTGCTGGAGAGGATGTGGAGAAATAGGAACACTTTGACACTGTTGGTGGGACTGTAAACTAGTTCAACCATTGTGGAAGTCAGCGTGGCGATTCCTCAGGGATCTAGAACTAGAAATACCATTTGACCCAGCCATCCCATTACTGGGTATATACCCAAAGGACTATAAATCATGCTGCTATAAAGACACATGCACACGTATGTTTATTGCGGCATTATTCACAATAGCAGAGACTTGGAACCAACCCAAATGTCCAACAATGATAGACTGGATTAAGAAAATGTGGCACATATACACCATGGAATACTATGCAGCCATAAAAAATGATGAGTTCATGTCCTTTGTAGGGACATGGATGAAATTGGAAATCATCATTCTCAGTAAACTATCGCAAGAACAAAAAACCAAACACCGCATGTTCTCACTCATAGGTGAGAATTGAACAATGAGATCACATGGACACAGGAAGAGGAACATCACACTCTGGGGACTGTTGTGGGGTGGGGGGAAGGGGGAGGGATAGCATTGGGAGATATACCTAATGCTAGATGACGAGTTAGTGGGTGCAGCGCACCAACATGGCACATGTATACATATGTTACTAACCTGCATAATGTGCACATGTACCCTAAAACTTAAAGTATAATAATAATAAAAAAAATTACTATGATGAAGAAAAAAAAGAAAAATAGACACAATCTTCCACTGAAGCAAAGAAGGAAAGTAGTATTTGGTTAGCAATAAACTACTGTTTTGTAGAGGGTCTGCTTATTCCATGTTTTTATGCCTATCCTCTCCTACACATAAAAATATCAAAACCTAGAAGTTTAAAGATTTTTCTAATTAACCAGAGTTAAATGTGTCCTATGTTTATTTACCCAGGAGGCTTCATAAGATAAGAGTGCTTTTATGGCAATTACCTAATCCTTGCTTTGGCACAGATAGTCATCTACATGAAAGAGAAGAAATGTCTTGCAACTGGGTATTCCATCATAGATTTTCTGTGATATTGGTACTGGTTGAAAAGCACTGTATCTCTTTACATCTATAAATACCCCATGCTTAGAAAAATGAATGAGCTATAAATAGTTTTGATGGAATTTATTTACTTAAAGGAAAAAAAGTAGTAGAATTTTTGTTAAAATACTAACATAGATGTAATGTTCTATGACACTGACAAAATAGAACTAGGTCCCTTTTATGTTGAGAATGTATAATTCCCAAGTAAAAGATGTTAAGAGCAGGTCTGGGTAAGTTAGATAAAACTTGCTCTTTTCTTCCCACAAATTATCTAGTTAATTCCTTTATTTTTCACAATCTAATTATCCAAACAATAATGACTATGTGTCACTGATCTTTTAAAATGGATCAGGTCAGGAGCCAGTTTTATGAACTTAATTATTGTTCTCTGTCACTTATACTAGAAAGTAAGTTTCATGAGAGCAGGAACATGCTTTTGTTGCTCACAGCTGAATCTCCATTATCTTGTGCAGCTTCATAAACATACAGGTAATAGGTTCTCCTTAAATGTTTGATAAATGAATAAACAGCCTCAACTGAGTTAAAAGATACGGAAGTTAGGACAGCAATCCATCTCATAGGATTAAACAGGCAAGGCTTCATTACCTACTCAACTCATCCAAAAGGTTAAATAGGCAATAGAATAAACAGAACATACATAGTGTTGTTGACACTAATATCTGCACAGATGTGATTTTAGATAGTTATCTCTCTTTTGCAAATATATTATGCAATCCCAAACAGGGCAAGGTTAAAAGAGTAGAATTTCAGTAGGATGTTTTTAGGAGTACTAGGCAGAATTGTCTGTAAAAATATATTTAATCAGTAATCGGGAAACAATGAATATTTTATAACAATAATTCCTGATAAAAAGTATTTAATTTAAAAAATGTTTTAACAGAGTTTATTTGAGCAAAGAACAATTCGTGATTTGGGCAGCCTCCTGAGCTAGAGTAGGCTCAGAGAGACTCCAGCGCAGCCATGTGATGGAAGAAGATTTGTGGATAGGAAAAGGAAAATGATGTCCAGAATATGGACATAAGGTACAGAAACAGCCGGATTGGTTACAGCTCGGCATTTGCCTTATTTGAGTATGGTTTGAACACTTGGCCCCCTTTGGCCAAAACTCATTGTTACAAGAGTAAGTTACAATCTGTTTATACCTCCATTTAGGTTATAATTTACTATGTATAGATAAACCTTTAATCTAAACTTAAAATATGTAAGGAGGCCTCTTTAGGCTAAACTTGATTTAACAATTTCCCCCTTTTAGTTATCCTCTCAATTTTGAGGTATTGACCAAAAGTTTAGTCATTGATGTCACTATCACCATCATAAATGTACTTATTTAGTCTTGAAACTCACTAGGAAATAGCAGAACAGTGGGTTTAGTAACACTTCTTATTGCCCATGGAAAAATACAGCGAGTATTAAATAGATTCAGTTGTAGGGGATTAAGAGCAGGCTGCTTGACTAAAGCAAGTAGATTCTTTATGTAGCACATTCTTTGATCTATTTGATTCTGATTGGTTTGGTTCATGGGGACTCTAGCTAAGGAGCATACTCCAAACTCTTGGCATTATTCTCCTGATAGCCATAGTAGTCTACCTAGTGCATTGTATTCTCTCAAAGGTTGTAAATGTTTGCATGCAGCCATCTCTGGAATGTCATATGGTCTTTCTCCAACTGGAATGGCAAGAGCTCAAAGAAATGTGTAATCCTGAGGGCACTGTAACCTATGAATGATGTGCTGAGACCAGAAATCCAAAATGATGGTAACTGACAGTGATGCTAAGGCTCTATGTTTTAGTCATACTCTCACTTAAAGTGAGAACATGACTAAAAGGGGGAAAATTTAAAAACAAAATTATGGGAGGCAATTGTTTGGACTGAGGTTATACACTAGGCCCCAGCAGACTAGACCAAACCAAAATGGAGTCACTCATGCTAAATGCAACATAATCAAATGAAGGCTTTAAGGAAACATATTCTAGAACAGATCAGCTTTTGTTTTTCTTCTGTAAACAGAAGATTCCAACACAAGGAGATACATTCTACTCTAAACCTTACAACAAAAAGAGTATTCATTTTTTATATGTATTACAGCCTTAATTGAGTAAGTCTTTGTTAAATAACTACTATGCATAAAGAAGAGTCCTAGGTGGAACAAGAGAAAGCATAAAAAATTATTCTCTACCAGCCCATTCAAGGGAGATTTTGTTCACCTTTCTTGGCTCACTTTTCTTCTCATACATTGAAAGTGTTAATTATTTTCTTTATTTAAAAATTTTAACTTTATCTGGGATATTGAAGTAATGTAGCACTTCCTGGAGTCATCACAGAACTTCACACATTATTGGTTTCTGTGATCAGTACATTACTTAGATAATCATATTTGGAAACCTTTCAAAGCAGAGACTGCATGATATATGTGAAAAAAATGTCATAGCAAATTGGATTTCAAACTAAGAAAGTTTAAAGCAGGATTTTTTCCATTGGTGTTGGATGTTAATGGAGGCTGTTATTGATCACAGTCTCCATAGTTATTTATGAATAAGTCCTCTGGATGTGCAGATAAAAAAAATCAATGCCATTTGGCTATAGAGAAGATAAATTTAATTGTTCTATTAAGTTCAGGGCACTATATAAATGATGACAAGCCATCCAACCAACATGGATTCTGAAACTTGAATACAGTCATTTATTTTTTAATCCCATAAGAGCTTTAAAAAGTATCAGCCAGTGTCAGGCCTTGACTGGACTCACTGGTTAAAAGAAAAAAAAGAGGATATTACAGTACAACATAATATAGCAGGGTACTTCAGAAGCACTAACAAGGGACTTTGGGAGCACCTAATGGGATGTTGTTCTCTCCAACAGAGAGAGAAGAAAAAATATGTCACACTCAAGAAATTGAAAGATTGAGTGGATCATAGGCATTAACAGTGGGGTGTGTGTGTGTGTGTGTGTGTGTTTGTGTGTTTGTGTGTGTGTTTGAAAAGGAATTAGTGAAGAGAGGTAGGATGGATAAGTCTTAAACCTGCAGATGTAAACTGGAACCTGCATCAATAACAACTGCAGACTTTTTCCTAAGAGCAACAGGAAACTTTTGATGGAGTTAATGAAGGAGAACAATGTGATCAGACTGTTAGAGATCTCTGGCTGTAGTGTGGACAAAGAAGTGCAGCCACTGAGATGGAAGGGAAGTAAGTTAGATTGCTGTCAGAGTGCTTTTGGAGATTGAAGTCAGAAATAATAATGGTTTCATACGGGATGGTGCTAGTGGAAAATGAGAAAGTTGGTGGATTTGAGAGGTAGTTAAAATACAGAAGAGACGGGATGGATTGTGTGACAGGATATGGGGACAGAGAAAGGTTTAAAAGTGATTTCTGGTTTCTGAATTGATCATGTGCATTACTATTTGCAGAGCCAGTGATTATTTCCTCAATTTTGGCAATGGGTATAACTTGTCCTAACTCTCAAGTCCCAGTTGGGCCTCATCAGGAAAGAATTCACATTAAACACAGAAGCTTTACAGTATGCTTTTGTCTCTCTTGCAAGTCATTATTCCAGGATATATGGTACTTTGGAACAGTGCTAGGGTGTGGCAGATAAACAATTTGGATTTTCAACAAACCATCCTGAGGTATGAGGTATAGGAGAAGGTATATTGACTAAGGAGGTATATTGACTAAAGCAATTAAAAGACAAAGAACAAGACAAGTTTTGGGGAGAGGGTTTTTATAAAGTTTCTCATTTAACAGTATATTTCAAACCTGTCTCAGGGGAATCCCTTAAGAAATTTGTATCAATCAGATATTGAAGCACAGATAAAACTGTACTGTCTTTGTATATCAGATGCTTCCAAATATCTGTCTTTGTATTTTAATGAATAATAAGAAGTATTGGTTTAACACATAGCTACTTAACAACTTCTGGTTCATTCAATAATTCTATGGTTTGGACATTGAGTTTAAAACTAAAATAGACATTTTCCATGGCCTTTTAAGCAAAGGGGAGGGCTGAGAAGATGAGAAGGAGATTTGAGCTCATTTTATTGGGGTCAGAATGGTTATAGCTTTAAGACATATGGGAAAATGCAGATTTAGTTGACGCCATTAGAATTATTTTCTAAGACTTTAGAATGACTGTTAGGATTTTCATCCCATAAAGTGGTAACAGTATTCATTCGATTAATTGAGCCAAGCCCAACACATATTCCTTGTTCATTCATTCATTCATTTGAAATCCATCAAATATCCAGTATGAACAAACATTTAATAGGATATGATGTTTAAAGCCAAATAATAATGGGTATTTCTTTTTGAGAAGCATAAGTGTTATTAGAGGAGAACAGCCATTAACTCAACAATGACAGCACTGTATTGTAAACACTGTGATCAAGAAATACAAGAGAATGGCAGAATAAAAGGCCATGTTTTGTTAATGAGTAAGAGTCAATTGGATGAAAGAAGTGAGGATTGAGAAAGATGAAGATGGAGAAAACTGCAGGCTCACAAGCAAGACGTCCAAAGGAACTATAGAAAGTTCCAAAGGATGAAAACAAAGGTTGTGTGGGGATGTTGGTGAGAAATGAGCCTGAACTCGCAGGCAGAACTTAGGCATGTATTGAGAGACAAGTATGCAAGCAAAGGGGTTTTGATTTTATCCTGAGAGCTGTGGGGAATTATTGAAGGATTTAAGCAGAGAGGTAACATAATCCCAATTGGCATAGTATTACAGAAAGTTGGCAATCCAGGCATGAACTGGGCATTAACCAGTTTTGGGAGATGGAGAATTGTGCTTGCAAGAATCCAACAATATAATAACATGTGTAGGTCACATTTGATAAATGGCAAACCTTAACTAAAGTGAAGAGTATGCAAAGCACCAGCAGAAATCATTCTGACAGTGCAGCAGATCTATGTAGGAAAAAAAAAAAAGAAAGAAAGGAAGAAAAGTCGTAGCAATAGAAAGACAAAATGTAAATGGAAAACAGTCTGAGCTACATCCAAGGGTGTAATAAGTAGCTGAAGTAAATGGCTTGAAACTGATTTGGCCAGAAAGTGCTATTAGACTTTCATCCCCAGTAAATGCCCCGTGGTCTTCTCAGACATTGAGGAAAAAAAAATAACTAGAGGTATACTGGGGTTTTCATGGGTCATTAAAAGTTAATTGCCAGTATAGTACACTTCCAGACATGATTATTTTCTACTACAGCTGTCTCGCGACACAAACACCTAAAGCAGGGAGGCTTTGGTTTCATATAATACTTAACTGAGAGATGAAGAGATTCTTTTTAATTATAATGGAAGCACTTATATATCAAAATGGGGCTAACTGCCTTCACTATAGGCCATATGCTTATTCAAAAAATCCTCTAATAATTCCATGCATTTACTCAAGTAAGTTATACAATGTAATAGTTTACGAAAACATTCCCAAACAAAGATAGCTGGCAAGATTGACTGAAAGTGGATTAGAACAAAAAGGGAAATATATTTTTACAAATTGTAAATCTCAACTTTCATTTATTTTATTTTATTTTTCTTTATCTCATTGCTTTTTATTTAAAAATAAATGAATACTTCTGCATTGTTTAGGAAACCAATGAAAAATAACAATGACAAAGAACTGTGAAATTCCATAAATTAACTAACATACCAATACAGGAAAAATTATTATCAGGATGCTGGCTGTGGACCAAGCAAGAATCCTGCCAAATTGTTATTTTGACACACTTTTGCTTTTTACCATATATTTGAACTTAAAAAATGTTCGTTAATCTCCTTGTGAATTTTAATCTGTTCCCTAATTCTTTCTGCCCCTAAAAGTAGGCCAGCATATGACTCTTCACCAGGGTCCTGTCCAAAAATCCTGGCCAATGCCTCTTTTTGCAAACCTTATCCTGTAATTATTCGATAATAAGAGTACTGCGCTAAAGAGGGAATTTTGGTGAGCTGCTATACCTTTCAGAAATTTGTTGACCAAAAGTTTGTTGTTAAGAGTGCCATGGAAGAGATCAGGAAGATGCAGTAAACCAAGCAAAAGATGTTGATAGAGTAAGTAGTGTTTTATATTTTCTGTAGTAATTGAAACTTCAGGTTAAAAAGGAAGTAATTCTTTTAGATTAATCTCTCCTAAAATATTGGCTCATATGGATTATAGCAGGCATTTTTTCCTCTGGATTTAGAAAAAAAATTATTGAAGTATAATTTATATGCCATAAAATTCACTCATTGTAAATGTAAAATTCATTGATTTTTAGTAACTTACAGAGTTCTGCATCTATCACCACAATCCAATTTTAGAATGTCATGTTTTGTTAAGTTTATTATTTCACAAACATTAACATGTTTAAGACCATTAATAGTCTAGGCAAAGTCTGCCCATAGGCTCAACTAATAGAGTGTCATCTTGTTAATGGGTGGATTGAACCACTGAAGTCTGGTTACAGGAGGTAATGTGGCATCTTCTTGAGGAAAATCATTCTGAAGAAAGAAGCCAGAAATAACCAGTTTTATCAAATAACAACATATTGGTCAGCAGAGGGACCCATGGTTCTGTGTCCAACATAGTGTTCGTTATTAGAGATTTATTGCTTGTTCTACTCCCATATTGGACTTATGCCCAATCACATTTTGCCTGACATATATCACTTGGCACTACATAGATATTTGTTGGCTAAAATATTTATCAAATAAATAAATTGATTTATATAAAGAGATTAAATAAATGGGTTTGAGACAATAAAAATTATAACACAATTTAATATAATTTACTGCAACAGGAGAAGGGGGAAATTTCATCTACCCTACAACAAGACGTTGAGTGGGTATGGGCATCTAACAATACCATTGATTGACCACAGTATGAAATGAAACTATCTGCAGAGAGATGATGCTACCTGTGGACATGGCCAAACCCCAAAAGAAGGTTTGGTGAAGGATTCAAAGAGGAGATGTGAAGAGTGTGATGTTGCATCTTCCTGAATGTGTCAACGTGATTGAGGGATTTCAGAAACCCATGGGGCGTGAGACCTTGCTCTCCTCCTCCACCTTCTTCTGAGCCACTCCTGCCCTTGCCCACTAGGCTCCTGCCTCAGTCACCATCTTTCTGATCTGCTCCCATGATAAATTGTTCCCTCATCAGGGCCTTTTTGCTAGCTATTCCGTCTTCAAGGAATGTTCTTCACTTAGATCTTGAATGGCTGATTCTTTTTCTTCAGACTTCAGCTGACCTCTTGATTGCCCAGTCTAAAGTAAGCACCCCAACTATAGTAGTCTGTTTTTCATGATGCTATGAAGAAATATCCGAGACTGGGTAATTTATAAACAAATGAGTTTTAATTGACTCACAGTTTCACATGTGGGGAAGCCTGAGACAACTTACAATCATGGCAGAAGGCACCACTTCACAAGGCAGCATGGGAGAATATGAAAACTAGCAGGGGAAATGCCAGATGCTTATAAAATCTTCGGATCTCTCTCTTTTTTTTTTTTTGAGATGGAGTCTCGCTCTGTCACTCAGGCTGGAGTGCAGTGGTGTGATCTCGGCTCACTGCAAGCTCTGCCTCCCAGGTTCACACCATTCTCCTGCCTCAGCCTCCAGAGTAGCTGGGACTACAGGCATTCGCCACCATGCCTGGCTAATTTTTTTTGTCTTTTTAGTAGAGACGAGGTTTCACCATGTTAGCCAGGATGGTCTCAATATCCTGACCTCATGATCTGCCCACCTTGGCCTCCCAAAGTGCTGGGATTACAAGCGTGAGCCACCGCACCTGGCAAAAACCTTCAGATCTCTTGATAACTCACTCACTATCAAGAGAACAGCATGGGAAAAACTGCCCCCATGATCCAATTACCTCCCACTGTGTCCCTTCTATGACATGTGGGAATTACGGGCATTAAAATTCAAAAGGAGAGGCAACCCCCTTTGGGTCCCCTGCCATTGTATGGGAGCTCTGTTTTCACTCTATTAAATCTCACAACTGCACACTCTTTTGGTCCGTGTTTATTACGGCTTCAGCTGAGCTTTCGCTCGCTGTCCACCACTGCTGTTTGCCGCTGTTGCAGACCTGCCATTCACTCCCACCCCTCCGGATCTGGCAGGGTGTCCACTGTGCTCCTGATTCAGCTAGGTACCCATTGCCACTCCCAATCAGCTTAAAGGCTCACCATTGTTCCTGCATGGCTAAATGCCCTGGTTTGTCCTCATCGAGCTGAACACTAGTTGCTGGGTTCCATAGTTCTCTTCTATGACCCATGGTTTCTAATAGAGCTATAACACTCACTGCATAGCCCAAGGTTCCATTCCTTGGAATCCATGAGGACAAGAACTCCAGGTCAGAGAACAAAAGGCTTATTGCCATCTTGGGAGCAGCCCACCCCCATCTTGGGAGCTCTAAGAACAAAGACCGCCCCCCGTAACATTTTGTGGCAACCATACAGGTATTCTCCAAAGTGGTAATTAATATTGCACCACTTTCACTGCTATTCTGTCCTATCCTCCCTTAGAATTGGAGGAAAATACTGGGCACCTGTCAGCTAGTTAAAAACGATTAGCGTGGCTGACAGACTTAAGACTCAGGTGTGATGTGCTGTCCAGAGAAGGGCTTTCTAATAACCCCCAACCCTTCTGGGTTGGGAGCTTTGGTCTACCTGGGACCAGCTTCCACTCTCAATTTTCCTGGGGGAAGCTGAGGGCCAACTAGAGTCAGAAAGCTGTCATCCTGAACCCCCAGCATTGGCCAGTCGAGATCATGGCACAGCCAGAAGTCTCTACTCAACAGTTGCCCATGCGTGCACCCCTACCTCTCCTTCTGACCCATACCACCTGGGTCCTGACCATGGACTTCTTCAAAGTGCAGCCCCAAAATTCTCCTTACCTCTGAATCTACTTCCTCCGATCCCTGCCTTCCAGATACTAATGTTTCAGACTTTCACTTCCTCTCCCAAGTATTAGAGCAGGTTGTATCTCCAAAGGGATCAAAGGAAGCTCTATGCTGTGTCCTTAGGCACCTAGGCTATGAACTCAAGGAGTCTTGTCCCTGGTGTTCCTGCAAATTTAGGTATATAGTCTTGACATGGGCAGTTATGTGGGACCCATTGCCCACCACCCTTGCCAGGGCCCCAAGTTTGCAAATGGCTAGGATAAAAGAGAGAAGAGAGAAAGAGAGACAAAGAAACAGAGACAAAAGGGGAAAGAGATAAAGAGAGAGAAGGGAAAGAGAGAGGCAGAGAAAGAAAGAAATATACAAGTAGTTAAAGAAAAAACAGTGTACCTTATTCCTTTAAAAGCCAGGGTAAATTTAAAACCTGTAATTGATAATTGAAGGTTCTCTCCATGACCCTATAACACTCCAATACTACCTTGTTGTCAGCATAAACAAGGGCATAGCCTGAAAGCACTGAGACCACTGACAACCAGTAGACTTCCTATCAGAAGTCCTTAACCCAGTAACCCACAGATGGCCCAAATGCATTCAATTGGTAGTGGCAACTGCTTTGCTAGCAGAAGAAAGTAGAAAAGTAACTTTTAGAGGAAACCTTATTGTGAGCACACCTCACCAGTTCAGAATTATCCTAAGTAAAAAAAAGCAAAAAGGTAGCTTACTAACTCAAAAACCTTAGAGTATGGGGCTATTCTGTTAGAAAAAGGTGATTTAACATTAACCACTAAAAATCCCTTAACCCAGCAGATTTCCTAACAGGGGATTTAAATCTTAATTACCATACAAAGGTCCAACAAGACCTAGGAGGAACTCCCTTCAGGACAGGACGATAGATGTTTCCTCCCAGGTGACTGAGAAAAAAACACAATGGGTATTCAGTAATTGATAGGGAAACTCTTGTGGAAGCAGAGTTAGGAGAATTGCCTAATAATTGGTCTGCTCAAATGTGCAAGCTGTTTACACTCAGCCAAGCCTTGAAGTACTTACAGAATAAAAAAAAAACTCTCTCAATCCTGACTCAAAAGTTTACCTACACTCTCTCTGAAATGAATTTGCATAAGAACAGTTGTTTATGGGAATGCATCTTGATAGGGCAGCGGGGTTGTTATGAAATACTCAGGAACCCAGCCCAGCTCTAGAATTCACCTCTGAGCACAAAGGCAATGTTGGGTAACACTGGTAAAGGACCAGTAGAATCCAGCAGCCCAGACCCATTTGTTTGTGGTCAAGAAAGGTGGGAAATGGGGTGCAGGACTGCTACATCGGTGAGTGTAACTAATCCAATAAGCAGAGGTCCATGGGTGGTTATGCACCCTGGAAAGGAATAAGCATTAGGATCATAGAGGATGCTCTAGGACTAATGCTCATCGGAAAATGACTAGGGGTGCTGGCATCCCTATGTTCTTTTTTCAGATGGGAAACATTTCCCCCAAGGCAAAACACCCCTAAGATGTATTCTGGAGAATTCAACCTAGTCAGAGTGCATGTACATTTCTCCCTGTCACACTTGAAGCAAATTAAAATAGACCTAGGTAAATTCTCAGATAACCCCAATGGCTATGTTGATGTTTTACAAGGGCTAGGACAATCATTTGATCTGACATGGAGAGATATAATGTTACTGGTAGATCAGACACTAACCCCAAATGAGAGAAGTGCCGCCATAACTGCAGCCTGAGAGTTTGGCGATCTCTGGTGTCTCAGTCAGGTCAATGATAGGATGACAACAGAGGAAAAAGAACAATTTCCCACAGGACAGCAGGCAGTTCCCAGTGTAGACCTTCATTGGGACGCAGAATCAGAACATGGAGATTGGTGCCACAGACACTTACTAACTTGTGTGCTAGAAGGACTAAGGAAAACTAGGAAGAAGCCTAATAAATTATTCAATGATGTCCACTATAACACAGGGAAAGGAAGAAAATCCTACAGGCTTTCTGGAGAGACTAAGGGGGGCATTGAGGAAACATACCTCTCTCTCACCTGACTCTTTTGAAGGCCAACTAATCTTAAAGGATAAGTTTATCACTCAGTCACTGCAGACATTAGAAAAAAACTTCAAAAAGTCCACCTTAGGCCCAGAGCAAAACTTAGAAACCCTATTTAACTTGGCAACCTCGGTTTTTAAAAATAGAGATCAGGAGGAGCAGGTTGAATGGGACAGACGGGATAAAAAAAAAAGGCCACCGCTTTAGTCATGGCCCTCAGGCAAGCAGGCTTTGGAGGCTCTGGAACAGAGAAAGGCTGGGCAAATCGAATGCCTAATAGGGCTTGCTTCCAGTGCGGTCTACAAGGACACTTTAAAAAAAGATTGTCTGAATAGAAATAAGACACCCCCTCGTCCATGCCCCTTATGTCAAGGGAATCACTAGAAGGCCCACTGCCCCAGGGAACAAAGGTCCTCTGAGTCAGAAGCCAATAACCGGATGATCCAGTAGCAGGACTGAGGGTGCCCAGGGCAAGTGCCAGCCCATGCCATCACCTTCACAGAGCCCTGGGTATGCTTGACCATTGAGAGCCAGGAGATTAACTGCCTCTTGGACACTGGCATGGCCTTCTGAGTCTTACTCTCCTGTCCTGGACAACTGTCCTCCAGATCTGTCACTATCCGAGGGATCCTAGGACAGGCAGTCACTAAATACTTCTCCCAGCCACTAAGTTGTGACTCAGGAACTTTACTCTTTTCACATGCCTTTCTAATTATGCCTGAAAGCCCCACTCCTTTGTTAGGGAGAGACATACTGGCAAAAGCAGAGACTATTATACACTAGAATTAGGATAAGGAAAAAGGGTAAATATATATGCAGACTCTAAGTATGCTTACCTAGTCCTCCATGCCCATGCAGCAATATGGAGAGAAAGGGAATTCCTAACATCTGAGGGAACACCTATCAAACACCAGGAAGCCATTAGGAGATTATTATTGGCTGTACAGAAACCTAAAGAGGTGGCAGTCTTACACTGCCAGGGTCATCAGAAAGGAAAGGAAAGGGAAATAGAAGGGAACCGCCAAGCAAATATTGAAGCCAAAAAAGCCACAAGGCGGGATCCTTCATTAGGAATGTTTATAGAAGGACCCCTAGTATGGGGTAACCCTTCTCAGAAACCAAGCCCCAGTACTCAGCAGAAGAAATAGAATGGGGAACCTCATGAGGACATAGTTTCCTCCCCTCAGGATGGCTAGCCACCAAAGAAGGAAAATACTTTTGCCTGCAGCTAATCAATGGAAATTACTTAAAACCCTTCACCAAACCTTTCACTTAGGCATTGATAGCGCCCATCAGATGGCCAAATCATTTACTGGACCAGGCCTTTTCAAAACTATCAAGCAGATAGTCAGGGCCTGTGAAGAGTGCCAAAGAAATAATCCCCTGCCCTTCAGGTCATACATTTCAATCCCTGTATCTTTAACCTCCTTGTTAAGTTTGTCTCTTCAAGAATCAAATCTGTAAAACTACAAATCGTTCTTCAAATGGAGCCCCAGAAGCAGTCCATGACTAACATCTACCGTGGACCCTTGGACCAGCCTGCTAGCCCATGCTCCAATGTCAATGACATCAAAGGCACCCCTCCTGAGGAAATCTCAACTGCACGACCCCTACTATGCCCCAATTCAGCAGGAAGCAGTTAAGAGACCTGTCATCGGCCAACCTCCCCAATAGCACTTGGGTTTTCCTGTTGAGGGGAGGGACTGAGAGACAGGACTAGCTGGATTTCCTAGGCCAACTAAGAATTCCTAAGCCTAGCTGGGAAAGGTGACCACACCTACCTTTAAACACAGGGCTTGTAACTCAGCTCACACCCAACCAATCAGGTAGTAAAGAGGGCTCACTAAAATACAAATTAGGCTAAGGAGCAGGAGGTAAAGAAATAGTCAAATCATATATCACCTGAGAGCACAGGGGGAGGCACAATGATTGGGATATAAACCCAGGCATTTGAGCAGGGAGGGGCAACCCCCTTTGGGTCCCCTCCCATTGTATGGGAGCTCTGTTTTCACTCTATTAAACCTTGCAACTGCAAAAAAAAAAGAGAGAGAGATTTGGGTGGGGATGCAGCCAAATCATATTACAAACACTTCCTATTATATGACTCAGTCTATTTTCTTCCTCATACTTATCAGTATACACTAATAGCTTATATATTTATTTTTATATGTTTTATGTTAGAAGAAACATAACTGAGGGATATAACAGAGCAAATTGATTTAGGTGAAAACTTTAAAGTTATTGATAAGTTTTGGCTGTGTCCCCACCCAAATCTCATCTTGAATTGTAACTCCCACAATTCCCATGTGTTGTGGTAGTGACCCAGTGGGAGCAATTGAATCATGACAGTGGGTCTTTCCTGTGCTATTCATGTGATAGTGAATAAGTCTCATGAGCTCTGATGGTTTTATAAAGGGAAGTTTCCTTGCACAAGCTCTCATTCTCTCTTGCTTGCCACCATGTAAGACATGACTTTGCTCCTCCTTTGCCTTCCACCATGATTGTAAGGCCTCTCCAGCCATGTGGATCTGTGAGTCAATTAAATGTCTTCCCTTTATAAATTACCCAATCTCGGGTATGTCTTTATCAGCAGCATGAAAACAGACTAATACAGTTATTTTATAAAAATGTATTTCTATGACATCCCAAGAGTTCATCCAGCTCTGCTGTTAAACAGATTTAGTAAGAGAAGAAAAGACTTGCTATCCTCCAGGTCAATCCACCCTGTAATTAAAGGATTCTAAGTTTTTTAAAAAACTATTTTGGCTGGGCGTGGTGGCTCACGCCTGTAATCCCAGCACTTTGGGAGGCCGAGGTGGGTGGATCACGAGGTCAGGAGATGGAGACCATTCTGGCTAACACGGTGAAACCTCGTCTCTACTAAAAATACAAAAAGTTAGCCAGGTGTGGTGGCGGCTAACTTTTTGCAGTGCACTGCACTGCAGCCTGGGTGACAGAGTGAGACTCCGTCTCAAAATATATATATATATATATATATATATATATTTCTTATGTTGATACAAAATATACTTTCTTACAACTTTACAACTAATCCTGATTTTTCCATCTAGAGTTATGTAAGTCTATACACCATATTTATATTATTTTTTTCAACATTTGATGGAATATATGTTATAGCAGTTTCAATCTTTAGGAATGAGAATGTTTTCAGGTTCTGAAGGGATAGTTTCTTTTCTAAAAGCAATAACAATAGTGTTTTTATTTTTTAAATTTCAACTTTTATTTTAGATTCACTGGTACATATGTAGGTTTGTTACATGGGTATATTGCATAATGCTGAGGTTTTGAGTACAATTGAGCCTGTCACCCAGGTGGTGAGCATAGTACCCAATAGGTAATTTTTCAATCCTGCTCTCCTCCCTCCTTTCTCTCTCTTGTAGTCCCCAGTGTCTACTGTTCCCAAAAATATGGTTTCTTGAGAGTTTATTAACATATCTAGGAAACAATAGCCAAATAAATAACATTATAAGACAAAGCATAAACGAGAATGTACTAAAGTTACTAAAATGGTTAATTGGTCCTTCATATTGCTTCATAGAAATGGGGGGGTAGAAGTCTTAGGCATATGGCAGAGCAGATGCAGGCTCAATAAGGTTGGTTGGCTGGTGTCTGGTAGGCAAAGGTCTTTATCCACTGAAAGAAGTTTGAGGCTTTCAGAGTTATTTCACTTTAACCTATAATAATATTTCATGCCCAAAATATCTTTCTACTGGCTTGATTTTTTTACATGGAGAAATGATTTCCATCATAAGAAAGGGAAGAAACAGTCTCTGAGCTATTTGCAATACTGATTATATCAAAAAGGGATCACGTCACTGAAATCTCTGTTGAGCTTTATGCTTTTCCTGGTAAAGTTAGTAGAATGGGTGAAATACTTAAACATTTTCTTTTGGCTGGGCACAGTGGCTGAAACCTGTAATCTCAGCACTTTGGGAGGCTGAGTAGGTGGACCGCTTGAGTCAAGGAGTTCAAGACCAGTCTGGGCAACATGGCAAAACTCCACCTCTATGAAAAAATATTAAAAGAAAAAAATTAGCTGTGTGCCTGTAGTCCCAGCTACTTGGGAGGCTAAGATGAGAAGATTGCTTGAGTCCAGGAGGCAGAAGTTGCAGTGAGTCAAGATCATGCCACTGCACTCCTGCCTGGGTGACACAGTCAGACACCATCTCAAAAAAAAAAAAATATTTTGAGTTAAGTTTTATGCGTATGGTTCTGGTCTACTTTTATAGTTTCTACCCAATGGACATTCAATTCATTTTAATTTGCATTTATTGAGTTCTAAATGTCTGCTAGGCCATGTGTGCCTGTGGATAATTCACACAAAGATTCAGTCCCTATCCTCAGAAAGCTCACAATATGGTGAGGAAAACAGACATGTATGTGGAGAAATATGCATGTTAGAAGCACATCTGTGGATGGGAGTAAACTTTATTTGTTGTTTATCAGAAATTCAAATTTAACTGAACATGATGTATTTTATCTGGTAAATGTAGGTGCAACATTATCACTGATGAAAGTTATCATTGTCAATGGAGAGTATGACTTGTGGCAGAATGGCCCCCTAATAACTTCAGAACTAGACAGATGAACCCAAGCACAGCATGACTCCAGGCAAGCCTCCCCACTACAAATTTAAAACCTGTTCCTAGAGAAGCAGAAGTGCAAACTCAAGTAAATGCTGCCACCCCAAAATAAACGTTAGATGTAAGGATAAGAAAAACTGAAAGTAATAGGATGGAGGTAGAGTTTAGATATACTAATTTCAGACCAATAAGCTCTAAGGCAATAAGCATTTTTAGGTATATACCTAATAGCAATGGATGTGTATTTTTATTAAAAGTAATGTACAATATTAGTCATAAAGCTTTCTTCATAATATTCAAAGCTGAAAATAACCCAATGTTCATGAAAGGAGAAAAACAAATTGTAATATATTAATACAAGGAAATACTAAACAGAATTGAGAAAAAATTTTGCTATGCACAAGTACTTGGATAAATCTCACAAACAAAATATTGGACGGAAGAAGTCAGAAATTAATACAAATTGTATAATTCCATTTATATAAAATTTGAAAATAAGACAAAAATACTTATGGTGATGAAAATCAAGATAGTGATTACTTTGAGGAGGCGTGTGTGATTATGGTGGGACAAAAGCAGGATACTAGGGTGCTGAACATGCTGTATTTTTGATCTGTGAAATTGTCACCTAGATATGTTCCTCTGCGAAAAATCCTCAAGCAATGTGCTTATAATTTTTGTACTTCTAAATATATTTTACTTCAATTAAAAAGTTACATAAAGTAAAGGAGGAAGAGATTCTTATGCACAGACACCTAAGCAGGGCTTTGGAGGCTGAGTAGGAGTGAGAATGTGAAAGAGTTGGCATATGGAATGCATGAAGTATGAAATGGAATGGGGTATTTGTAGAACCGCATGCACTTTAATGCAATTTGCCTTCTGTGTGGTAAGGAGAAGTGGAAGGAGAGGACGCTGGAAATACAGGTAATGGCAGCTTAATGTGGGCTTGAAGGTCATGTGTTTCAGGTGACTCTAATGACTCAACTCACTCTCTTAGCCTCATGTCCCATTTCAGCCATGGCTGGCTTCCATACTGACTTCAACTTATTTTTGTAGATAGTGTCTTACCTCAAGCAGGTACTGCAGTTTTTTAACTTTTCACCCTGGAAAGGCTCTCATCCCATAGAAACTCGAATGCTCTTTCCTCATGCCTACATAGGCAGCCTGGAAAGTGCAGGCAACCCTAACCAACAGGAGATGGGAACTTAAAGATAAATACTTGCAGTTGGTCCTCATGGAGACAATTCTGAGAAGGGAACATATTATGCTCAGAAGTTGAGGGGACAAGTGAGAGCTTTGTTACCTTCAGTGGTGAGCTTGATAACCTACTCTTATAGTGGATTTCCCTACTTCCTCCCTCTCCCAAGTTCCTTACTCCTGCCCCAGGAGATTGCCTTCCTAATGAACTACATGCACCCAGGTCTTGGTCCCAGGCTCTACTTTAAGAGGAGAACACAAACTAAGGCTTCTGGATTCTATCTTGCAAGGTAGTGGAAACTACCTCTAGTCAAGGGGGGGCTGCACAGAGCCAGGCAGGATAATGAGCAACAATGCAGGCACGGGACTCCTTGGGAGATGGTTTGGGTCTTTGAGTGTCCAGAGGAATCACCCCTGCTTCTCTGAAGCAATAAAAATAGGACAAAGGAGGAACGCAGATGGAAGATGAAGCCTGAATTTTATTTCTGACAAAGGTCATATAGGAGAATGACTCATATATTTAGGCAGATAAGTTACCAGTTGATTAACCTCAACTAGACAGATTGACTCTCAACAGGGTTAGGGCCATAAGACTTCCCCACTGCAAACAGAGTCTGCCCCTAGGGAGGCAGAGTAGAATGCTGATACACAGGCTGTGGAAAAAAAAAAAAAAAAAAGAGAGATTGTTCTAGTAATCAAGAGAATGCAGGAAAGCTTTGTTGAAAAGTAGCATTTGAGCTGAGGATTGGTGAGTGAGCAGAGTTTTGACAGGGGAAGACAGAAGGTTACATGCGAGACAGTGCTTTCTAAGCGATTAAATGCTAAACCAAAGTCATTACTATACCAATGGTTATAGAAAATAGATTATCTAACGGGGGATGCAGGTAGGATTTGGAGTGTTTATTCATTTCTTCTTAGAAAGTTAAATGGAATTCAGTCTTATCAACTAGTGGGTGGAATTTCCAACTAAAATATCAATATGTAAGAACTACAGTCCTCCACATTCCTTTCCCACAGTCAAATTCATATTCATTAAATCCTTCTTGCTTGTTGCTAAGCAGATGATGTAAGAATATATTAAAAATCATAAATATTAGCACAGTAGGATTTGCAAGTCAACGCGTCTTGTTACGAATGCAGTTGGAAAGTTCTAACCTCCTGAATTCTTGTCCACATTCTGTGCAGGTCATCAGTACTTCCTCCAGGGTACATAAAATCAGCACCAGAAAAGGCAGTAAATGCTTGTTAGCATTACCATTTCTTCTGTACCCCTTGCCCTTGTTTATTATCTCCACTTTTACTGATGCCTACACATATATGATGGCACATGCATAAGCAAAGGCATGTATTCACCCTCATATGCATACATGCACAATCCACTTGGAAATACACACAGACACAGCTAAAATGCAAAGGTAGGGATTTAGAATACCTTTCCGCTACTTAAATATAAATGCTTGTCACTTTCATTTTTTAAGGGAGAATGTGGGTCAACATATGCTTAAAATAATCTTTTTTATTGTTTTGTTTTGTATTGTTTTGTTTAGCATGTTTAGTCAAAGGAAATTTCAGAGCTGACATAAGATCCTGGCATCTTGTGAACACTTTCTCCTCAGTCTGTCCTGAGTCAAGACCAACAGGCTATCAGATTGTATTGAAGGTTTATGAATCTCTTCTCCCCTGCTGCTGTCAGCCTTTTGACCATTTTTCTGGTAATTATCCCTGAGAGCAGGTAGAGAGAAGCTGTTGGCCTCTTTTCATTCAATTTCACAGTTCTGGTTTAGAAGGAGGGAAAAATAAATAAGGGAAAAGTGAGGTTTGGTGCTGCTTTAAAATTTTACAGATCTTCTTAATCTGAATTCACTGAAATTCAGGCTTAAAATATTAAAATACCAAGTTACTAATACAACATTCTTAGTAACCAATATTTTGATTCTATTCACTTTCACAATTCAATTGATGACCTACTGAAAGCCAGGCCCTGGGTTATGTGTTAGAGATAGATGAGTGAACAAGACTTGCCTGCTTCCTGCTCTCCTGAAGTTCATGGGCAAAACTGAAATACAGCCAACAGACCAGGAATTACAAATGCGATGAATGACAGGAGGAGAAGCGCAGGGTGGTGTGGGAAGGCAGAACAAGGAGATTATATCCAGTACATGTCTTCAAGGAAGGACTTTATAAGGGAATCGTGTAAAGGGGAGACTTGAAGAACAAGCAGCAGCTAGCCAAGTAAAGGGAGTTTGATGAGCATTTGAGGCAGAGATCATGCAATCAATCAAGTTAAATTACCTAATAAGAAACACTTGTTTTGAGTAGCCTTGGTATTTTTTTTCAGACAAGTGCTTAAGGAGAATAGAGAAAACACCTGCTGAGCATCCAGATGATCACTAGGGAGTGTGTGTCCAGAAGCCCTCTTTTCAGTGCCACAAGCATGGGGGCATACAAATAGTTTCAAAGACCTTCACAGAGCAATGGGACTTTGGCATTTTCTCCCATCTTTCCCATATCCTCTGGGTTCTCAGGTAAAAAGAAATGTGGTGAGAATACAGGACTAAGAGTAATGGCTAAGTTAATAACCTGCCTTGTAAAAGAAGAAACTGAGATGTTTCACTTGCTGCACAATCTGTAAGAAGGTACTTTGATAGCTCAGTATATTAAGTTTATTTCATAACCTCGTCCCACCTCACTATTAAACAACCAAGTTGCCAGTGCTCCAGTTAAAGTTAACCTCTGTTCTTCTGAGAGAATTGCAGAAGGAGGGTGCTTTAAGGACCCTTGGAAATATCACCATATTATATGAATGGTAAAAATCAAGTTTGGACATTTATGTTGTATTTTCCCAAAATCAGACTACCAAGATGGAAACTAAGGTTTTTTGACTCTTAGTAGATGGCACATTGATGAGTCACACTCCTTCCATTGAAGCGTCTAGCAATTTCATAACCAGCCTATAGAAGATACCAAGCACACATGTAACTTTTAATTTAGGTTTCAAATCATTGATTGAAAACAACAGGATATCCTCAGAAAATAAATGAAAGATAAAAGGCACCTATAATTCATCTTTCAAGACTAATCTGATGACCTATCTCAAGATTTGCAAGCCGATGTCACAGACTTTTTTTTAAGGGAGATGGGTTAGGTCCATATAATGTTTAGGGATTTAAAAGTTGTTGCTTGATGATGCAAAGTGGTTTCTAGTGATTGTCATTTTGTTTTCTCAGGGATCACCCACTTTCTTTGAAATCTGGTGCAGAATTGTCATCTAAAGTGCATGACAAATTTGCCCATGTCTAAATTACAGTGTATGCCTTTTGCCATGGTTGAAAGTGATAGTAAAATTTTGTGAATTTTAAGCAGATTCTGATTTAAATATTGTTTTAAAGATTTGAAAGGTGCATTATTTATTGTTTCTTGTCAGCATTATCTTGCAGAAATTGTAAGGGTTAACAAACTGGTTGTTCTCTGTCAAAATTACTGAACCAGTCTTATAACTTCTTTTAATTCATTTATTTCATAAGGAGAGAAAGATCTTTGAAAGAGTAGCTATTTTTAAGCCAACCCTAAGCATATTCCTTCCTTTATCCTTCCCCCTAATTTGTGAGGTCAATGACATCCACCCATTTGACTGATAGCAAATCCCATCTGTATGAAATCAGCTTATCTAAATACATTAGGAATGCCCAGCAGGCCTGTTTCATGGAAATTAAATTGGTGAATAACTTTGTGGTGAGAAAATCATGAGGTCATGGTCACTATTGCTTTAAAACTAAATGAGCAAATCTTTCGATCAGTTTGCTTTTGCTCTTTCCATAGTCAGAGTTCAGTGGTCATTTTCCTCTCAGAGTTTGACATTCAGAGCATCTCTAAAGCCAGAAAATAAGAGCAAGGTTAGCTGTTGGGGTTGGGGGTGTGCTGATGAAGTATGAGGTAAGCAATAACCCTGACTGATGAGGTGTGAATATATTGCCTCAAATACTGCTCAAAAGTTTGTGATATGAATTAGAACTATTATGTCTTTGAGATAATCTTAGTATAGACATTATATTTGGAGACTTCTGTGTATTATGTTAGCATATTTTGCTTAGAGACAAAGAAGTAAGATTCTATACAGTAAAATGGTAGCTGGGGGTGGGGGTCATATCAATTTAAAGAAAAATAATTTTGTTATGGGCTACTCTGTGTTGGGAAAGTACTTCTACTTGGTATCTCCTCATTCCAGGTTAAAAACCTGAAATCTAGGAGGTGAGCATTGCTTAGGATAATCATCTCTTAAGAGTTATAAACATAGCTTAGGCAATAACTCATGAGAAAATACTTGTTTGTTGCTTCTCTATTTCCCCTTTCACATTTCCTAAGGAAGCCGTTTAAAACTTGTGCATGTTCATGATATACCAAGTCTTCCCTTATCAAAGTCATACCTAAGTAACTAAGATATGATGAAGAAAGGTTTTTTTAGAAAAAATTTTGGTGCAAAGAATTATGTCAATATGTTTTTAAAATGTGCTTATTCTTAAGATCCGTGTATCTGATCTCAGCACATCCCAATAGTTTGTAAAATGAAGGACTGCCTATTGTTAAATGACGCTCAGGTATCAACAGAGCAAATAGAGTGATACTTGGTAGGAAAGTGGGGTGAGGGGAACAGTCATGGTTGGGAGAAGAGGATGTCTTCTAGAACAGTGTTTATTCTAAGGAAATAACAAGGTTGAATCCCTTTGACTCTACGCTTTGATGTCCTCTGGGTCATCTGATGATACACCTATTTTCGTGAGTGGTAGGATGTTTATGAAGAAGGTGGTGAAAAATGCAAGGACATTCATGTCTTATTCCTCTGAAGTTTATTTGCTACAATACATTTGCCATGGAATTGTATGTGAATACTCTTTCAATTTAATTTCAGTATAAATATCGTAGGGCATATAAGTAGAAAAAATGAAGGTGGAACTGGCTGTAAGCAGAGGTTATTTAGGAAATAATCTCTGTAATGCAGTGCTTCCCTACATTTCAAGACACACATTAAAAATGGGAATGTTTGTTAAAATATCCTGAGGTTAGCCAATGAACATGATGGAGGCTGGGAGCTCCAATTACCCCAGGCACTATACACCACCCCAAGGTGCACACCTGTAGCCCATCTGCAAGGCATAAATCTGTAAATCATCTGTAACACACTGATGAGAAAGCTCTGCACAAGTGTGACTTTTTGCAAGTAGATTTCCATCTTTTCCATCTTCATAGGTAACACTCCACATGCACTCAATCTATTTGATCCTCAACTCAGCAGCTTATTTATTAGTAAATGTATCTGATTTGTGCTAATCACAAAAATTATTCTTTACTCTGAGTTTTTATGAAGAATCTGGCCACTTTGTCTCAATTACAGCTATATGTAACACAAAGTCATTAAATAAAATTCACGCAAGCTGAAAGAAAAAGGCATGCTCTTCAGTAAAATCTTTGGCATTTCAGGTCTTCTAAGAAATAACCACATCCACCTCATCTTTGTGAGAGGTCTTTATTTCCTAAGTTGATGATGACACAGTAATAAAAAAAAAAAGTGCATGAGTCCATCTATTATCTTCCCTGAGCCTGAAAAACAAAATAACCTATGCTCCAACCCTAATCCCAAATCCACTCTCTTCCCACATTCACCACCACCAGAGTCATATCCACCTCTTCTTTTCTCTCGATATTGCATGTTGGAAGAGATAATTTAAAAAGTAGTAATTGAGTCATCCAATAGTCTTTAGTTGCAGCAATTTCACACTCTAGCTACACATTACAATAAACTGGGGAGCTTTAAAAATTTACCAGGTGCCATTAAATACTATTCCATAAGGATGGAGAGACAAGATGCCCCAGATAAAATAAAATAGTTTAGAAATAATCTGAGGCAATTAATATGCTGAAATGCAATACAAAGATGAGCTCATAGAAAGTACTGATTATTGTTAGCATTGAAGTTTTAAAGAACAAGGTTCAGAGGAGCTGGGGCTTGAGTTGGAAAGTGCAAAGGATATCCTCAGGTAAAGACCAGAGAAGAGGGCTTGATGAGAGAACAGAGTATGAACACTATAGACAGACTCCAGGTAAACTCGGAGTGGTTGCGGAAAAGGAATGAGGCAGGCCTGGTTAGTTTTAATATTAATTTGAGAAGCAATAGGAATTGGTATTACATAACTGGGCAAATTCAGATGATGGAGATACTTGAAAATAACACCAAGAGTTCATCCTGGAGTTCAAATGATAATTAGAGGCTTTCATTGGAGAGGAAGGAAATGAGATTACAAAGATAGGACAGTGCCCAAAGTCTCTGGGGTTCTTGAGGGCACCACTTGAAGACTGACTTCTGCAGCAGGTTTAATGACTTGAATCTATCACCCCTTCTCAATATATACCTTTCTTGTTGCTCATTACCGTAAGTGTAAATATCCCTGATAACCAGTTTGTATGTACAACTATTACTATGTGTTTTCCTTTATGAAGCATGTCTCTGGGATTTCCTATTGCATAGCACCTAATAGCAACTAACAAAATGTAAGTTATAACAAATATTTCCAAGATGGTAATGAGCTCTTCTCTAGTTATATAGTCTTGGATACATCACTTAATCCCTCCAATCTTGGTTTACTACATTTTTGCAATGAATACACAAGATTTACGTATTTTCTAATCTTACATGTAGCATTAACTTCACATAAGTTTCTGATTATCATTCTCAGCCATATAAATGATAACATTTGTAAAGAGAAATTGCTTCATTCCTGGCCATTTACTCCCACTAGGTTTGAGCAATCTATTATTTATACAAGGAATTGTACAACTTTTGTTTTCTCTGGACAGTTCAAAAAAATAACTGATGTTTGACAAGAAGAAAAGAATATTGATCTTATTTATTTGTTTTTTGGGTTGATAAATAAAGCTAAATTTAAAAATCTGTAGGTAATACACTGTAGTGGCATAAATATTTAAGATCAGTAAAGGAAATCATCAAACTATTGTCATTCATACATGAAACGTACAAAGCAAATAGTTATGATTTAAAGATTTTAATACATAATTAAAAATCAACAATTATTACATAGTTATATAACATTGATACTGTTAGATATGTGGATGTATATATTTTTCTTTCCAGTAAAATAGTTTCATGCTTATAAAAGTCACCCTAGGTCAACTTGGGACAAAGAAAACAATGTACAGTAGAAATAAACCAAGTATTAAATAGAATATATAGGTAAGGAAAAAATATTATAAAGCAGTTACATTTTTGACACACACACACACACAAATAAATACACTTTTCTATTATTTGAAGGCAATTCACAATCATTTCCAGGAATTCCGTGAGAATTTAAGGCCATTTGTTCTAAAGAAATGCTTTAATTTAGACACAACTTCACAAAACTGTAATTCTTGTAAAAACTGTACATGCAAAAACCCTTTACAATTATTCGTGGACAGGCAGGTCAGTATATAGGAGTAGGTTATTTCACAAATGTGTTGTGCACTAAGTCACATAGTTGTATATATTTAACTGGGAATTTCACAAAAGACTTCCAGCCTGTGCACCTTGTGTGGCAACGTGGAATGGTGATAACAAGAAATTCCGATCAAGAGAGCCAGTATCCCTTTGAATTAAAATATCTAGACAAGATATAATGGAATAAAAAGTTTAAAACATCTGCTACATAGTTCACAGTTAAATAGTCTTGGTTTCAGTCTTTCTAAATAGCATTATTATATAAGGATGCTACTTTTTACAAAGTATTTTCTGTGCATTTATAGATCACAATGTTTGACTTTTTATAATTTCTACTTAGTGTTACAAAATACAAACCAACTGCAGTCTAAATTTAGAACCCAAACTCCATGAAAAATGCATGTTCAACCAGGAGACACATCTGCCGGGCTTAAACTCCCATACCCAGCAAACATTGCTGAGAAATTGTTTATTAAGCAGATGTAGTTTCTTAAGACAATCCAGTTACTGAAAAATAGAAAAGCATTTTTCCCTTCCCTTATTTGCAATTGTGTTTGTCCAGACAGTCATTCAAAGAGATATTGCTCTTGTGATTATAGCTATTGCAATTTAGAAGACAAAGGATTCAGTATTTAAAACTCTTATTTTTAAGAACAGTTATAAAAGTATTGAAATTTAAAAAGTAGTAACATGTAAACATTGATACAGAGACTGCTTTCCTATACACATAGCAGTCGAAGACAATATTTGAGTTAAAAACACAGTTTGTGCTTTTTCCCAACAATACATTGGAAATTAGCTGTTTCTGTTAAAAAAAAAAAGAAAGAAAGATTTAGAGAAGACATCCATACTTTGCTTCAAGCATTTAAACAATTTTTTCTGTTGCTCATGCAACAACCATATTTACAGTTTTGGTTTAGGAAGATATTTAAATTTGGATCCAAGAAAGCACATTAACTGCTGAAACCAAACTGAGAAAACTATCTCATTGCCTGGTTCATTACAGAGCACCAGGCACAAAGCATTAACTCAGCACTTTTGATTTGTAGTTGACATTAGCATTTCAGAGCACAGTCATATTTGAGTCTGTAACACATGTGTAGGTGGGGTGTATGGGGGAGGCGCAGGTGATGGCTTGATTCCTCGGGCTCTCATATAGGAGAGAAACTGCTCAGGGATCTCAGCTAGGACATCTTTAGCCAATCTAGCCATGCTCAGTATGTGGTTTCCACTTCTGTCAATATAATCCCTGAATGGCACAAACTAAAACAGAGACGAAAGAAAGTTATTTCACAGACTTTAGCAGGCTATGTAATAAACACAAAAAATCAACACATGTACACATTTGGTCATAGGAAAATCAGGGAATCTGAGAGTAATGGAGAGATGGATAACAATTATTATACATTTTTAAAAATATTCAATAGGCCAGGCATGGTGGCTCATGCCTGTAATCCCAGCACTTTGGGAGGCTGAGGTGGGTGGATTACCTGAGGTCAGGAGTTCAAGACCAGCCTGACCAACATGGTGAAACTGTGTCACTACTGAAAATACAAAATTAGCTGGGTGCGGTGGCACACCCTTGTAATCCCAGCTACTCGGGAGGCTGAGGCAGGAGAATTGCTTGAGCCCAGGAGGCAGAGGTTGCAGTGAGCCGAGATCATGCCACTGCACTCCAGCCTGGCCGACAGAGCGAGACTCTGTCTCAAAAAAAAAAAAAAAAAAAAATTCAATACACTACAAATAGCTATAAGTGACTAAACTTACATAATATATGCTTTATCTCAAAAGGAATGCAATCATTTTCTATGTTTTTCCTCCAATAACTCATGTCACTTAATCCTAATAGGCTTATTATGTTGCCAAATGTCTTCTGCAGTTTTAGGTTCTATACCCAGCCTGAATCCCAACAGGATGGAGCATTTAACCTCTTTGGGGCTTGGTTTCCTGTCAAATGGAGTTAATATATGCCTAATTCAGCTTCTGATATAAAAATACTACCCAATTCTGGATAAGAAATGAGTATTACCCAATTCAGGGTAAAATATAATAGTGTACATTGTTAAAAAGTCCTAAACACATTAAAGTATTTTAATTCTTTCTAAGACAAAATCGCATGGACTATGAATATAGAATTCACACAGCTCATATTAATAGGAAGCTGAAATATTCAGTACATTGAGTTTTGCATCAGATGTTGATTTTTGAGTATCTACTATTTGGGAAGACAGGAAAAAAGATCTTGGCATAAGATTTGGGTATATTTCTTATGGAAATATCATCATTCTAACAACATATATTAGGTTGGAACAAAAAGTAATTGCAGTTTTTGCAGTAATTTGTGGTTTTTCAATGGCAAAAACCGCAATTACTTTTGCACCACCCTTAATAAAAATGATTACTATATCTTTATATATGTAATTATGTGAGAGCCCTTATCGGCTCAATACCAAATGCTCCTGTAATAGATTGCCTGATTCCATTCTCATTTATAATGGTTACTTAAGTTAATAAACACTGTGCTGTTTGAGGGCATTAGTTCAATTTTCCCTTAGGGGCATAATGATGCTTGATGCAACTTTGAAGTGATTGGAACTGTGAATGTTGTGATAATTTAAGAGCACAGTAATTTTTGGTCTTCAGAGAAAAGGCAAAGTGAAGACATTTTAATATGTTGAACAATTTGAGTACAATATATAAAAATTTGAATTAAATCATTTTTCTCCTGGATGAAGACAAAGAACAATCCTGTCTCATGCTGTAAAATACCATTTTACATTTATTTTGAAAAATAAAATAAGTTTGTTTTTTATTTAAAGTTATTCATTATGTGCCTCTGGAAAACAATCATTATTGGAAGGAAGCATTTAAAATGATCAGGTTGCTACAGGTAAACCAAGAAAAATTTTAAGAAATCAAAGATTAGGTATAGTGCCTTTTATGCAATGAAGGTAGTCTCTTTTAAAAGAAGAGAAGAAAACTATTCCTTTCTTTTTAAAATAAGACATTACAAGGAAGCACATGTATGTGACTAAAATTTTACCTTATTTGTCTTTACACCCTATTTCCAGGAGGGAAACTCAGAGCAGTTTTTAGAAATAGGTATTTAAAAGGTGACATATCTTTCTCCTACTAAGGGCAAGAAAGGCAGCTTGCTAAGGATGTGAAAAAAAAAAAACTAACAATAAATGCGATCTTCCTTCAGAAGAGAATGAGAATTAGAACTTTTGTGAAGTGTTTATTCCCTAGCTATGGACAAGACTTGACATTTTTAACAGAAAAAAATCAAAGAGGTAAAAAAAAAACAAAAAACAAAAAAAACAAATTGAGGTTAATTTTCTCTCTGAAACTATAATTAGAAAAGAGAAAATAGGAATCAACACAGGGAATAATGAGAAAATATATCTAATTGTAACTATAATTTACTTAATTCTTATTCTAGAAGGTATAATGCTTTAAATGTTAACATTTAGTAATGTTGGTATGGTCAGTATACATGCAGTGGTCTTTAGACTTTTTTTTTTTTTTGAAGAGTTTTTTTTTTCTTTGTTTTTGAAAATGTATGTAGCTAATACACACATTTCATGGAAATGTTGGCAAACAGTTGATGCTTCTCTATGGAAAGGGGAGATCTCCCCTGCTTCTTTTATCTTACCTTTACCTCAACTTTGGTCTCATATTCTTTACCTTGCTCCTACATTATGGACATTAAACTCATTTAAGTTTTTACCTCCCTATTCTCAGAAACTTTGGAATTAGACTTCCCAGTTTCAAAGCCTGGTTCTGCTGCCTGTTGCCTGCATGATCTTGAGCAGGTTATTTTCTACTCTTTGCCTCAGTTTCTTCTTCTATAAAATAAAAACCAGATGGCTTCATGGCAAATTCCACCAAACTTTTAAAGAACTAACACAAATTCTTCTCAAACTGTTTTTTAAAATTGAAGCGGGGAGCTCTCAGCAACGTGGAAAGGAACTGGCCAGCAACTTAGCTTAAAGGATCCTCCGTAAGAGCCACACAAGTCTGTGCACAGACCAGAGAATAGACACTGTGGGAGCCGTAAAGTATTTCCTTGGTGGTTGGGACCAAGCCTTTCAGGTCCGTTCCAAGATGGCCGAATAGGAACAGCTCTGGTCTGCAGCTCCCAGCGTGACAGACACAGAAGATGGGTGATTTCTGCATTTTCAACTGAGGTACCTGGATCATCTCACTGGGACTGGTTGGACAGTGGGTGCAGCCCACAGAGGGTGAGCTGAAGCAGTGCGGGGTGTCACTTCACCTGGGAAGTGCAAGGGGTTGGGGGATTTCCCTTTCCTAGCCAAGGGAAGCCATGACAGACTGTACCTGGAAAAAGGGGACACTCCTGCCCAAATACTGTGCTTTTCCCATGGTCTTAGCAACTGGCAGACCAGGAGATTCTCTCCTGTGCCTGGTTTGGTGGGTCCCATTCCCACAGAGCCTTGCTCATAGCCAGTGCAGCAGTCTGAGATCGACCTGCGAGGCTGCAGCCTGGTGGGGGGAGGGGTGTCCACCATTGCTGAGGCTTGAGTAGGTAAACAAAGTGGCAAGGAAGCTCGAACTGGGTGGAGCCCACTGCAGCTCAACAAGGCCTACTGCCTCTATAAACGCCACCTCTGTGGGTAGGGCACAGCTGAAAAAAGGCAGCAGAAACTTCTGCAGACTTAAACATCCCTGTCTGACAGCCCTGGAGAGAGCAGTGGTTCTCCCAGCACGGCGTTTGAGCTCTGAGAACGAACAGACTGCCTCCTCAAGTGGGTCCCTGACCCCCGTATAGCGTAACTGGGAGACACCTCCCAGTAGGGGCCGATAGACACCTCATACAGCTGGGTGCCCCTCTGGGACGAAGCTTCCAGAGGAAGGATCAGACAGCAATATTTTCAGTTCTGCAATATTTGCTGTTCTGCAGCCTCCACTGGTGATACCCAGGAAAACAGGGTCTGGAGTGGACCCCCAGCAAACTCTAAAAGACCTGCAGCTGAGGGACCTGTTAGAAGGATAACTAACAAACAGAAAGCAGTAGCATCAACATCAATAAAAAGGACATCCACACCAAAACCACATCTATAGGTCACCAACATCAAAGACCAAAGGAAGATAAAACCACAAAGATGGGGAGAAACCAAAGCAGAAAAGCTGAAAATTCTAAAAACCAGAGCGCCACTTCTCCACCAAAAGATCACAGCTCCTTGCCAGTAATGGAACAAAGATGGATGGAGAATGAGTTTGACGAGTTGACAGAAGTAGGCTTCAGAAGGTCGGTAATAATAAACTTCTCCGAGTTAAAAAAGCATGTTCTAACCCATCACAAGGAAGCTAAAAACCTTGAAAAAAGGTTAGACGAATGACTAACTAGAATAAACAGCGTAGAGAAGACCTTAAATGACCTGATGGAGCTGAAAACCATGGCATGAGAACTACGTGATGCATGCACAAGCTTCAATAGCTGATTCAATCAAGTAGAAGAAAGGATATCAGTGATTGAAGATCAAATTAATGAAATAAAGCAAGAAGACAAGATTAGAAAAAAAAGAGTAAAAAGAAATGAGCAAAGCCTCCAAGAAATATGAGACTATGTGAAAAGACCAAATCTACGTTTGATTGGTGTACCTGAAAGTGACAGGAAAAATGGAACCAAGTTGGAAAACACTCTGCAGGATATTATCCAGGAGAACTTCCCCAACCTAGCAAGGCAAGCCAACATTCAAATTCAGGAAATACAGAGAACACCAAAAGGTACTCCTCAAGAAGAGCAACCCCAAGACATATAATTGTCAGATTCACCTAGGTTGAAATGAAGGAAAAAATATTAAGGGCAGCCAGAGAGAAAGGTCGGGTTACCCACAAAGGGAAACCCATCAGAGTAACAGTGGATCTCTCAGCAGAAACCCTACAAGCCAGAAGAGAGTGGGGACCAATATTCAACATTCTTAAAGAAAAGAATTTTCAATCCAGAATTTCATATCCAGCCAAACTAAGCTTCATAAGTGAAGGAGAAATAAAAACCTTTACAGGCAAGCACATGCTGAGAGATTTTGTCACCACCAGGCCTGCCTTACAAGAGCTCCTGAAGGAAACACTAAATATGGAAAGGAATAACTTGTACCAGCCACTGCAAAAACATGCCAAAGTGTAAAGACCATCAATGCTATGAAGAAACTGCATCAATTAATGGGCAAAATAACCAGCTAACATAATAATGACAGGATCAAATTCACACATAACAATATTAACTTTAAATGTAAATGGGCTAAATGCCCCAATTAAAAGACACAGACTGGCAAACTGGATAGTCAAGACCCATCAGTGTCCTGTACTCAGGAGACCAATCTCACATGCAGAGACACACATAGGCTCAAAATGAAGGGATGGAGGAAGATCTACCAAGCAAATGGAAAGAAAAAAAAAAAAAGCGGGGATTGCAATGCTAGTCTCTGATAAAACAGACTTTAAACCAACAAAGATCGAAAAAGACAAAGAAGGCCATTACATAATGGTAAAGGGATCAATTCAACAAGAAGAGCTAACTATCCTAAATATATATGCACCCAATACAAGAGCACCCAGATTCATAAAGCAAGTCCTTAGAGACCTACGAAGAGACTTAGACTCCCACACAATAATAATGGGAGACTTTAACACCCCACTGTCAATATTAGACAGATCGACAAGACAGGTTAACAAGGATATACAGGAACTGAACTCAGCTCTGCACCAAGCAGAACTAATAGACATCTACAGAACTCTCTACTCTAAATCAACAGAATACACATTCTTCTCAGCACCACATCGCACGTATTCCAAAATTGACCACAGAGTTGGAAGTAAAGCGCTCCTCAGCAAATGTAAAAGAACAAAAATCACAACAAACTCTCTCTCAGACCACAGTGCAATCAAATTAGAACTCAGGATTAAGAAACTCACTCAAAACCGCACAACTATACGGAAACTGAACAATCTGCTCAATGTGCAAAAATCACAAGCATTCCTATACACCAATAACAGACAGAGGGCCAAATCATGAGTGAACTCCCATTCACAACTGCTACAAAGAGAATAAAATATTTAGGAATCCAACTTACAAGGGATGTGAAGGACCTCTTCAAGGAGAACTACAAACCACTGCTCAATGAAATAAAAGAGGACACAAATAAATGGAAGAACATTCCATGCTCATGGTTAGGAAGAATCAATATCATGAAAATGGCCATACTGCCCAAGGCAATTTATAGATTCAATGCCATCCCCATCAAGCTACCGATGACTTTCTTCACAGAAATGGAAAAAACTACTTTAAAGTTCCTATGGAACCAAAAAAGAGACCACATTGCCAAGACAATCCTAAGCAAAAAGAACAAAACTGGAGGCATCCCGCTACCTGACTTCAAACTATACTACAAGGCTACAGTAACCAAAACAGCATGGTACTGGTACCAAAACACAGATATGGACCAATGGAACAGAACAGAGGCCTCAGAAATAACACCATACATCTACAACCATCTGATCTTTGACAAACCTGACAAAAACAAGCAATGGGGAAAGGATTCCCTATTTAATAAATGGTGCTGGGAAAACTGGCTAGCCATATGTAGAAAGCTGAAACAGGATCCTTTTCTTACACCTTATACAAAAATTAATTCAAGATGGATTAAAGACTTAAATCTTAGACTTAAAACCATAAAATCCCTAGAAGAAAACCTAGGCAATACCATTCAGGACATAGGCATAGAATAAAGACTTCATGACTAAAACACCAAAAGCAATGGTAACACAAGCCAAAATTGACAAATGGGATCTAATTAAACTAAAGAGCTTCTGCACAGCAAAAGACTACCATCAGAGTGAACAGGCAGCCTACAGAATGGGAGAAAATTTTTGCAATCTACCCATCTGACAAAGGGCTAATATCCAGAATCTACAAAGCACTTAAACAAATTTATAAGAAAAAAACAACCCCATCTAAAAGTGGGCAAAGGATATGAACAGATACTTCTCAAAAGACATTTATGCAGCCAACAGACATATGAAAAAATGCTAATCATCACTGGTCATCAGAGAAATGCAAATCAAAACCACAATGAGATACCATCTCACACCAGTTAGAATGGCAATCATTAAAAAGCCAGGAAACAACAGATGCTGGAGAGGATGTAGAGAAATAAGAATGTTTTTACACTGTTGGTGGGAGTGTAAATTAGTTCAACTATTGTGGAAGACAGTGTGGCGATTCCTCAAGGACCTAGAACTAGAAATACCATTTGACCCAGCCATCCCATTACTGGGTATATACCCAAAGGATTATAAATCATGCTACTATAAAGACACATGCACATGTATGTTTATTGTGGCACTATTCACAATAGCAAAGACTTGGAACCAACCCAAATGTCCATCAATGATAGAATGGATTAAAAAAATGTGGCACACATATACCATGGAATACTATGCAACCATAAAAAAGGATGAGTTCATGTCCTTTGCAGGGACATGGATGAAGCTGGAAACCATCATTCTGAGCAAACTATCACAAGGACAGAAAACCAAACACTGCATATTCTCACTCATAGGTGGGAACTGAACAATGAGAACACTTGGACACAGGGTGGGGAACATCACACACTGGGGCCTGTTGGGGGTGGGGGACGTGGGGAGAGAGAGCATTAGGAGAAATACCTAATGTAAATGATGAGTTGATGGGTGCAGCAAACCAACATGGCACATATATACCTATGTAACAAACCTGCACGTTGTACCCTAGAACTTGAAGTATAATAAAAATAAGTAAATAAATAAAATTGAAGGGGAATGAATTCTTCCAAATGTATTCCACAAGGCCAGAACTACCCTGATACCAAAACCAGACAAGGACACAACAACAACAAAAATCTACAGGTTAATATTCCTGATGAACATAGATGCAAACATCTTCAACGAAATACTAGCAAACCAAATACAACAGCACATCAAAAAGATTATACACCATGATCAAGTAGGATTTATCTCAGGAATGCAAGGATGGTTCAATGTGTGCAAATCAATAAATGTGATACATCATATGAACAGAATGCAAGCAAAAAAAAAAAACACATGATCTCGATAGATGCAGAAAAAGCATTTGATAAAATACAACATCCCTTCAGGATAAAAATTGTCTGTAAATTAGGTATAGAAGGAAAATACCTCAACACAATAAAGGCCAATATGACAAACCCACAGCTAATATCATAGTGAATGGAAAATGTTGAAAACTTTTCCTCAAAGAACTTGAACAAGAGAAAGATGCCCATTTTCGCCACCCTTATTCAACATGGCACTGGAAGTCCTAGCCAGAGAAATTAGGCAACAGAAAGAAATGAACAGCATCCAAATTGGAAAGCAAGAGATTAAGTTATTTCTGTTTGCAGCTGACATGATCTTATATATGGAAAACCCTGAGAATACCACAATACAACTGTCGGAACTAATAAGTGAATTCAGAAAAGTCATAAGATACAAAATCAACATACAACCATCAGTGGCATTTCTTTATACCAATGGCAAACTAGCTGAAAAAGAAATCAAGAAAGCAATCTCATTTATAATAGCCAAAAAAACTAGAAATACGTTTAATCAAAGAGGTGAAAGATCTCTACAATAAAAACTATAAACCACTGATTAAAGAAATTTAAGAAGACACAAAAATAAAAATCTCATGTTCATGGATTGGAATAATTAATATTGTTAAAATGACCATACTACCCAAAGCAATCTACAGATTTAAAGTAATACTTGTCAAAATACCAAGACATTCTTTACAGAAATAGAAAAACACAATCCTAAAATTTGTTTGGAGCCACATAAGACTCCAAATAGCCAAAGCAATTCTGAGCCACAAGAAGAAAGCTGAAGGTATCACATTACCTGACTTCAAAATATATTACATAGCCATAGAAACCAAAACAGAAAGGCACTGGCATAAAAACAGACACATAGACCAATGGAACAGAATAGAGAACCCAGAAATAAATTCACATATTTACAGCCAACTGATTTTTGACAAATGCATCAAGAACATACACTGGGGAAAGAACACCCTTTTCATTAAATGGTGCTGGGATAACTGGATATCCATATGCAGAAGAATGAAACTACACCCTTATCTATCACCATAAAAAAAATCAACTCAAGATGGGTTAAAGACTTAAATGTAAGATCCTAAACTATGAAACTACTAGAAAGAAACCACAGGGGAAATGCATCAGGACATGAGTAGGCAAAAATTGTATGAATAAGGCCTCCAAACTTATGCAACAAAAGTAAAACTAGACAAATGGTATTATATTAAGCTAAAATCTTCTCAACAGCAAAGGAAGTAATCAAGAGAGTGAAGAGACAAACTTTTATTCATCTAATAAGGGATTAATATCCAGAATATGCAATGAATTCAAACAATAGCAAAACAAAAAACAAAAACAAAAAACAAAAAACAAAAACAAACCAAAAACACCCCACAAAGAATCTGATTTTAAAATGGACAAGTGACCTAAATAGATATTTCTCAAAAGAAGGCACACAAATGGCCAAAAATAAATGAGAAAATGCTGAAAAATCACTATTTATCAGAGAAATGCAAATCAAAACCACAATGAGATATCATCTCATCCCAGTTAGAATGGCTATTACCAAAAAGACAAAAATGTCAAATATTGATAAGGATGTAGAGAAAAGGGAACTCATACATTGTTGGTGGGAATGTAAATTATTACAACCATTATGGAAAAGAGAACTACCATATGCTTCAGCAATCCCACTACTGGGTATTTATCCAAATGAAAGGAAATCAGTATGTCAAATAAATAGCTGCATTGCCATGTTTATTGCAGCATTATTCACAATAGCCAGGATATGACATTGACCTAAGTCCATTCATTAACAGAGGAATGGATAAGGAAAGTGTAGCATATGCACACAATGAAATACTATTTCGCCATAAAAAATGAAATTCTGTCACTTGCGGCAGCATGGATGAGCCCGGAGGACACTATGTTAACTGAAATAAGCCAGGCACAGAAAAATAAATACCACATGTTCTCCCTCATATGTGTAAGCTAAAAAAGTTGATCTCATAGAAATAGAGAGTAGAATAGTGGTTACTATAGGCTGGGAAGGATAGGTGGGGAAAGAGGGGTAAGGAGACTGTGGTTAATGGATACAAAATTACGGCTAGATAGGAGGAATAAATTCTGTTGTTCTCTAGCACTGTAGGGTTACCGTAGTTAATGATTATTTATTGAATATTTTTGAATAGCTAGAAGACAGAATTTTGAATGTGCCCAACACAAAAAAATAAATGTCTGAGATATGGGTATGCTATCCCTGATAGAAAAATTATACATTGCATACATGTAATGAAATATCACACTGTACCCTATAAATATGTATAATGTCAATAATAAAATAAAAAGGATAATTACAGAATACCTATTTCATTGTTTTGTATTAAATAAGTTAAAACTTAAAGTGCTTAAACAGTAACAGTTCAATTTGTAATATGTATTATATATGAAAGCCATCATTATCATAATTACTATTTCTATTCATTAACTTACACATTTATATAGTCAATATAAAGCAATTTGTTAATAGTTTTCAATTTATATTCATATCAAACATTAAATATAAGGAAGATTATTATTAATTTTATCTCTTTCAAATTTGAGTACAGTATCAGTTATACAGTAATTCCTGGACTTTTCAAATTTTAAAACACTGTTGTTTCACCTTTTCAGCAAGTCCTACAGGATATGCAGATGTTTTTTAATTGAGGTAAACTGAATTTCACTTTTAATAATTTTATGACACTGTGGAACATAAAAACTAAGGCTCATAATCATCACTGTTCTTACAATACACACAGTTCTACTCTTCTTTAAAACATGTTTATAAATAATAGGTAAAAAAGAAATCCTCAATTTCAACCTAGGATGGGAGTATACATCACATTTAGCTTAGGTTTGTTAGGTGAGCACAGAGTCTGATATTCCATTTGGACATTAGGGGGCACTGCCCACAGGTTGAGAACCACTGTCATAGGAAGTCACTGTTATCAAACAGGAGTATCCTTCATCCCACACTTATATTTGGAGTAGGATTAAAAAAAAGTCACTAGCCTAAACTAAACCTTTTCCAAAGGAACATTTATTTCTTCAGTCATGTCACAAGGTGTTACTTTATAAATGAGAAAAAAGACAAGTGACTTCAGAAATTTCCTTTACCTCTTATTTCAAATCTTAAAATTTTCATGACAAAATTGCCCTCTTTCTTAGAAGATTGCTCATATCCTTTTATATTTACAGGTTTCCACTCAACTTCTTAGGCCACTCTGTTTATTACCTCTATTAGTCTCTCATTTCTGATCCCTGTACCTGAGAAACTTTTGTCCAAAATAATTCCCACACATTTGTGAATGCATGTTGACCACATGGTAATTTAGACCCTTATAATATTTAGTTTAGAAGAATAAATCAATTTTTACTTTGCATTAATTTATCACATTCATGTAAAGAATACCAATAAATGCATTTTATTCTATAGGAAGTATGGTATACTTGTTACTCTACATCTTTTTTCAGCACCCACAAGTGTAGGGAAAATGTTCCACATGACTGCTCTAGCTGCTTGCTTTACCTATTCGTAAAAATAAGTTTGAATTCATTTGGGCAAATGGGCTTTTAGTTGCTGCTCTGCTCAGTTTTGCTTTATTGTTCCTACTGTGCAGAGCTCCATTAGTGATTTTCAAGTCTAAGCCCTCAAGGTTATTATTCTCCTTTTAATGGAAAATATGATTTAAATATAATTTTTCAGGAAATGATAAGCTGGCCAGCAGCTACATGCAGCCAGGCGGAATGGCACTGCCTTATACACAATGGCCAATCCACAGCATAAACAAACAAATAGAAAGCCTTTACGTATATTGACTTATGACAAGGTAGTAAGCTTTATTTGTGATTAAGTCTCATTGCCTCAATATTTAATTTCATATCACTATAGTATAAACAGTAAGCAGGATGGTTATTATTCTAAAACTTAAGTAACTTATTTTCTTATGTTAGGGCACAGCTACTATGAAATAATGACAAAAAAAATGCCTTCCTACTGGACTGTACCAATGTACTGTACTGATAATAACGCATTTATTGAGCAACTGGTAGTTGGGAGGTCTTCTGCTAGGCGATTTAGCACAATATGTCATTTAATATTCACAAATATCTTATATACTTTTAATGCACGTAAGAGGAAACTGAAACTTAGAAAGTTTAATTAACTTATCCAGGATCAGCTCTGAGTATGTCAGAATCACTACTTGAACTCAAATGGATCTGACTTGAATTGATTAGCCACTTCAGTAATACAAAAAGGGTAATAGATCTTAATAATTTTCTTTATAATTTTGTCTTTTAGGACAGTGTGTTATAATAGGAGTAACACAGGTTTTAGAACCAGAACACTCTTGGAAATCTGGATCTACCAACTTATGACCTAAATAACTTTCCAAAAGTTGTTTAACTTTTGATCTGGGGCTGGCTTCAGTTTTCTTATCTGTAAATAACTATGAGACAAACAATGACCGGTATTTTTAGGAAGATATAAAGTAATATGGGGACAAAGTGAAAATTCATCCAGGTGCGGCGAGTGAGGTCTTTGGAGAGGGCTGTGTGACAGGCTATACGTGGAGAAATTTGAAAGTATAGGATTTCGATCAGCACAGATGAGGAGGAAGAGTATTCCAGGTAAATGACAAGTGAAAGTAAAAGCAAGAACCATGGAAATGTATGATGGGAAGTTAGTTTATTAAGATAAAGTACAGTGTGTTTGTCTGTTTCTGTGTGTATTTAGCTAAAGAAGAGCTTGAAGTCAGGTCACGGAGAATCTTAAATGCCATGTTTAGGTGTTAGAATCAAAATTATACAGAATACATGTTAAGAATCTTAGAATCAGACATTTTAGGATTAAATCCTGGTTCACTTCTAATTAGCTGGGTGACTGTGGACAAGAGGAATTGAGCTAGCTTCATGTCCTTTTTTGTAAAATGCAATAATCAAAGTACCTGTCACATAAAGTTAATTAAGGACTGAGTGATTTAATTCTATAGCTCTTAGCCTGCCTAGCACATGAAACACTTAATAAAGGGTTAAATATCGTTATACAAAAAGGAAGGTATTTAATATTTACTATACTAATAAAACCCTATCTACTACCCCCAATATTCTGCTGAACCTCAGCTACATACTATTATTTGCCACCTTAGGGTTTTCTTTGTCCACTTGAGAAATGTGGAATTTCAATTGTGTTGTGTGTATAAACTGGATTCGCTTCAAGCAGTGAGAAATGGAAAGCAGAGAAAAGGTAAGACAGCCTAAATAGACCCTATTATCTGATAATATTTTAGAGAATTGGTTTACAATATTTTCTGACCAGGGGAAGATTGAAAATATTATCCTGCATGTACACTTGCAACCCCACTATTCTAAATATTCAAGAGTGTTTCTCTCCTTTAAAATAATTCGCTTTAAAAACTGTTTAGTGACTGGTAGAACCTGGAAAACTCTGATGGTAGAAGGTTTAGCTTTATTCAAGGTGAGAGAGGAGGTGCCAATTCTTTTACACAATGTGAATGTAAATGATCAATGTGATATGTAAAGTACTGACCACCATGTAGAAACTTCTCTATGAAAGTAGAAATGAGTACATCAAATCTCTAACTCAATGCAGGAATGTAAGTCAAGATGCCACTGTCATTCAGGGTGCTACTAATTTCCTAGGGACATTTTAATTTCTTGTTCAGTAAATGTTAAGACCTCACTACTCTTCAGTTCAACTTTACATGGCAGAATCCCTTGAGTGTTCACCTGTATCCCCAGGTGTGTTCAAAATCTTTGGAATCCCAATGTTACTTTATGGTGATAGGCTGCTCTCAAGGATTCTGACTTTTTTTTTTTCTTTCATTTTTGAGACGGAGTTTCGCTCTTGTTGTCCAGGCTGGAGTGCAATGGTATGATCTCGGCTCACCGCAATCTCCACCTCCTGGGCTCAAGCAATTCTCTTGCCTCCGCCTCCTGAGTAGCTGAGATTACAGGCGCCCGCCACCACACGCTGGTAATTTTTTGTATTTTTAGTAGAGACGGGGTTTCACCATGTTGGCCAGGCGGGTCTTGAACTCTTGACCTCAGGTGATCCTCCCGCCCTGGCCTCCCAAAGTGCTGGGATTACAGGCATGAGCCACTGTGCCCGGTTGGATTCTGACTTTCAAGAAGCAAAAACTTATATAATTATACTAGTATATACCTATGCTATTGGTAAGTAACAAAGTATTTTATGTCTGTTACTTCCTCTGAGACTCACAACATCATGGGAGGGGCAAAGATGAAAGAATTTGGAGTCTACAGATAATGAAACAAAGATAGAGAAATTTTTTTACTTGTTCAAGACCAGAGTGACTAAATAATTATAGTTGCATAGATCATTGGTGTCCTATCTCAATATTCTGTTCAATGTAGTATATCTATTGATTGATTAGTTTCGTGATCAAGGACAATTTTTATTAATGCAAATATGTTGTCACAAACATAACCTATTGGTCTTCTGAAAGGAAACCTTAATGATGTGAGTAATCTTAGCTATTTCCTAATGAAGAAAGTAATACCAAGCTTCTCTTAAGCATCATTTAAATAGAACTATGAGATATGAGGTTGCCTCTGCTAACTTGGTAAAAATGCATTAGAACAGCAACATAACATTCTAAAGACTTCAAATTCATACTTCCATGCAGTAATTCAATTTTTTGGAAACTGAACAAATATTCTAGAGAGCTTTTAAATAAAGTGTAATTACTTAGACCTATAATTATGCTGATGAGGTTAAGGTGAATAATCATGTGTCTAATTATGAAAAAAACACATAATGGTCCGGGCACGGTGGCTCATGCCTATAATCCCAGCACATTGGGAGGCCGAGGCGGGCGGATCACAAGGTCAGGAGGTCGAGACCATTCTGGCTAACACAGTGAAACCCCATCTCTACTAAAAAAATACAAAAAAAAATTAGCTGGGCATGGTGGCAGGCACCTGTAGTCCCAGCTACTCGAGAGGCTGAGGCAGGAGAATGACGTTAACCCAGGAGACGGAGCTTGCAGTGAGCCGAGATCACACCACTGCACTCCAGCCTGGGCAACAGCGAGACTCTGCCTCAAAAAAAAAAATAAAATAAATAACACACACACGCATAATGAGCTTCTTAAGCAAATGACCATATCACCAGGTTCTTTTTCCCAGCTGCTGTTAACCTAATCATTTATGTGAGTGTGATTTTTACTGTATCAAGTACTTTAGGTTGAAAAGCTTACATCATATTCAATTATCTTTTTAAAAAAACTATTTTACAGAAGTTTTTATTTTAAAATTTAATTTTGCTGACTAATGAAGAATAATTATTTTTGATCTTTATCAATGTTACTCTTTATATTATCATACTAACAGATTACTTTATATTATTACTTCCTCAAATTATTTCAAGTATTATTTGTTGTTCTTTTGTCTAAGAGTTCTATTTCAGGAATATATTTTATATGCATTATCTCACTTAATCTTCACAATTCTATTTATCCCCCAAAACACTGAAATCTATAAAGCTTATCCAAGTTATCATAGTGGAAAAGTCAGAATTTGAACCAAATTCTATATGATCCCTGATAGAGCAGGAGCACAGTCACCTTGGGCAAACACGGCCACTTTAAGTTCCAGCTCCCTTTCTAGCCTCATGCATTTTAAGGAAATTACTTCTCTTCTGACTACAAGCAGCCACAAAGAGCAGACAGTAAAACACAGATAAGACAGCTTGAGCACAGAGGGAGGTGGGAGGGAAAGTCTCTTAGGCAACTGCCAAACTTTACCCTTATACATGGGGCCCAGTAAAACAGTGGGCCTTGGTAAGCATATTCCTTTCCCTTCATGTGTGCTAAGATAGGGAAGCTAAAAGCAGACTCGGGGGATATGCCTGCAGTTGCAGAAAGATGTATGGGAACAGACACACAACTCTCCCTCCCAGGTAAGCACAACAAAGAGACACAGAAGCAGTACAAGCCTCTGATAAACTCTCCCACTCAGAATCCTTAAAAACTCGTGGCCTGTAAGAGAGTGCAGTTTCTGATCTAATTCAGTCAAAAGTCCCTCCCAGGTTTGAAAACCTGTTGACTGTCGAGCCACCCTTTGTGTTTCTCTCCTCTTTCTTTAATTCTTACAATCACAAATTATTTTCTATTAATGACTGTATTATGGGTGAATATATATGTTACTATTTAGGAAATAATATTAAAGTTCATTGTTTGCTCCCTTAAAATTTTGATACCATGTGCTTAAATGGTACTGAGACCTTCTTCCTTTTCCTATCCAAAAAGATATACTTCACAGCTTTTTTTCTGACATCCTAAAAATATGGAAATTTTATGCAACTATTAAGTTGAATTAACGCCTTGCTTTCAATTATAATTTGAACTACATTTAATTACTGGTTGTTTATATTCACTTCCAGAGTAATACGCTTTACTTAAGTATTTTTCTTAATTCTAGCCTTTTCTATATGTAGATGTAATTTTTTAATATATGACATATTTTAGGATCTATTTCTCTATTTTTTCTAACCATAATGTATGAGGGAAGCATGAAAATACATACAAAGTTTTTGGTATATTTTTACTAAATTTATTCACTCTGAGTATCTACCAGATTAAAATATATTTAGTTTTTGTTGAGACTAACAAATAGAAAAGCATCATTAAAAAGTCTGTTATATTTCTAGCTTCTAATTTTGTTAAAGATCCCAATGATATTTTCTAGCAATAGTAAAGTAGGAAAAGGTTTATTTCTTACCTGCACAATGTCTCTTTCAGCATATTTTCCTCTAGAGGAGACTCTTACATCATCTCCATCCAATTCGACCATTGCTTTAAGAGAAAATATGATCATTTATTCAGTACATTTTAGCCAAATACTAAAACAATGTGGACAACAAGGAAATCAAGATGTATGAAGTAGCAAAATGTGCTATGAAAAGACAGAAAGCATGTTGATCCCTTCATGTCTTCATTCATTTCTCATACAAAACTTGATTAAGTGTGCATTTTACAGACAAAGAAAGTGAACCAAGATCTTTTGTGACTCTTTGAAAGGTGAGCAGAGCCAGTCTCTGGGTCTATCTCTTTGTAGACCCTGTGAAACTGTCTCTGGGTCTATCATCTCTCCATTCTACCAGTTCTAAACTTCGGGTTATATGGTTGCATGACTGATTGAGCAAGTGATGTTAATCCATCAAATTTTAATTTTTCTTTCTAATTTAAGAAGCTTGGCCTTAATCATCATAGAATTTTCAATTACAAGTTGAACTTTATTTTCATTGAAACTACAGCAAAGCCATACACATACACACACACACGCATACACACACACTGCCTGATTTTTACTTTACAAATAGATTTAACAACAGAGGCATTTTCTCTGCTCTTATACTGATTGGATAAAGTATGATTTTTCTGAAGTACAATTTTTTTGTTGATTAAGAAATAATTTTGACATTTCCTAGATCAGCTGGTATTTGGAAATGCTGGGATATAATGGGACAGCTGGTGATACAGTAATGCAGTGCTGCAATTAAGAACATTTTCTAGGGTTTATTAAGTTTTCAGTGAGAATTCTCTAAATAATTAATTACATGAGGAATGCTAATTTGTGCTTAAAGTATAATTCTATTACTGATAATTCATTTTGTATACACATGACATTCACCAGACTCCAGAGAGCCGCTTACAATTATAATTTTGGCCTCATCACCCATCTCCCTGGCCCCAATACTGCTCAGTCAGCATACAATCCTCACTTCTTTACTCTTTTCTTCAGTGCTTAGATAATGCATTTGGGTTGAAAACATTGTTTTCAATTTTACCTTTCTACACATGTTCATGAGTCAATGCTTGGGCTGAAACGCTGCTAGTATACATAATTAACAGAGAGCTACTGTTCAATAATTTGTCAAGGTGTACAATATATATCATAATTATGTAAAATCTGTATATTACCAATAATAAGATAATTATCCCAATGCAGAAGACATTTTTTAATCTCCCTTACTTCTTGGATATGTAAATATAACTCATTATGTTCAAATACTTTCAGTAAATAATACTTTTTATATCTAAATTTGCTTTTACAATTTTCACATTACTTTGGGACATAAATATGCACCAATGGTAACACTCAGTGGTCACAAACACTTCTCCATTATTCTCTAATATGTTAATAATTTACAACAATTACCCTATACACATGCTAAAATGGGAAACAAGAATTAGATGATAATCTAGGTCTCACTTTCCACAGTCTTCTACAATCCCCATT